>NC_000003.12:60313030-60616060 GCF_000001405.40 Homo sapiens
CAGACCCAAATTAGTTTATTTTCTCCAAGGTCATCTTGCTTGAGAGTGGAGGGACACAGATTAGCATCCAGCCAATTAATTCCTAAGGCCATACTCCTATCATACTCACTGACTCACAGATGTATGTTATCCACACACCTATGCACATGCTCTAAACATTACATATGATATAAATACATATTTAGATACGTGCATTAGCACCTTGGCATACACTTTTATAAACACTCTACAATATTCAGGAGTCAGGGATCACAAGAGGAAACTAATATGTAAAAACCCAGTTCTCTAAAATTAGGTGCCTTCTCAAGTAGGTCAAGCAACCGCATTTATATTGTCTACATTAAAGGGATCTCTTGAAAACAGTCACATTAGCAGAATACAGGGGCTGAGTGAGCAGGCTGGCAGGGGAGGAGTGTGAGCAGGCTAACGACTAGAGCTACAAACAAGATTCCATCACCTATAACTTAGATTTCATGTGGTATATTTAGTTCAAACCCTGTCACTTTATACAAATAGGTTGTCACGTAAAGTGCAAACAACTCTCTTTTGACAAAGTGATACTGCTGTGGTGCTGGGTTGATGGCTTTATATTCCACAAAGCTTTTTAAGTGACAAATGATAGCTGAGTCTTGAAAATATGGTGATATGAAATGACTGCATAAATCCTTTCAGGCTTCCCGGGGGGAGCAAAAGCATAGCATTTTGCACATTAATTAAAAAAGAAAATCTGAGAGGATGAGGTTAGATCTTTCTAATCTTGACTCTGTGCAAACGGACTTTGAAGTTACTGGCACAAAATTGAGAGATGGCCCCAGAAAAGTCTTCAAATGAGATGTACAATGTTGTTTAAAGATCAGGCTCAAGTGCTGCTCTTGGCCCAAATGAGGCCAGGCAAGGGTGCAATAATTATCTCTGCTAGAGACTGTTGGTGCACTGGCGTTGAAATCTTTTGATATGTTGGATAATGCAGATTTTGTGTGCACACATTGCTTTCCCAAGCTGTCTACATCAGTGTCATGTTCAAATGAAGCCGAATAGTTTAAAAGGCTCGCTTTCACACTGGCTTTATTTAGCTTGCATAAACATTTTCCCTTCAATCTCATATAAAGTCTTGCTGCGTAAATGCAGCTGTCCTGCTCTTGTGTCTTAATACAGATCTTTACAAAGAGGCCTGTTGGGCAACATATTTCTGGTAGATGATTAATAAGAGATATAGGATTTCTTTTAAAAAAAATCATGCTCTGACTACAGAGGGCAAATTCATTACCCATAAATCAAAAGGAGTAAGGGATTTCAGTAGTATCAGAAGCCTTATCTGGCTTCAATCTGACAGTTAACTGTAGGCCGTGAATGATTAAATAAAAGTCTAAGTTCACCCGAGCCTGGATAAAATAAAACTCAAAGCCCAGAAACTTCAAATAAAATAAGAAAAAATCATAATTTTTCACCTCAAAAGGAAACTGAGAAGAGAAGTATGATGTGACAGAAACTATGATTTCAAATGGAGGGTTTCTTTTGTTGTTTGTTTTTCAGAACTAGACTCACATTTTACAAAAGGCTCCCTACCCATAAGGAAGAAAGTTTTGAGAGTAATGAGGTTGATCTGAACTGTTAAAAACTTTCTAACTGAGATATAGCAACATATGGTGTGGCAGAATAAAAATGGCCACAAAATCTTTAACATTCCTTCCATCCAGAAGTGAGGGGTCTATGTTCCTTCTCCCTGAGTAAGGTGGGGCCACTGAGTATTTTCACTAAGAGAATTCAGCAGAGGCTGGGTGCGGTGGCTCATGCCTGTAATCCCAGCACTTTAGGAGGCCAATGCAGCAGGATCACTCGAGTCCCAAGTTCAAGAATAGCCTGGGCAACACAGTGAGAGCCTGTCTCTATTTTAAAATTTAAAATAATAATAATAAAAGAATTCAGCAGAACTTACTATGCCCAGGCCTCAAGAAACTGGCATTTCTCTTCAAACACTAGCTTTCAAATCCTGAATTGCTCTAAGATAAGAAGTCTGCCACCCTGAGGCTACCATATTATGAGGAAGCCCAAGACAGCATGTGGCGAGAGAAAGGGAAAGATGCCCACCCAACCTCCAGCTATCTGAGTCATCCCAGCTGAGGCTCCAGACATTAATGAACTGCAGTAAGCTATTCATCCTAATGCCCTGTGGGAATCTCTCACCCACAACCTTGGGAGACATAATAATAATAAATTGTCTTCAGCTATTGTGTTATGGAGTAGTTTGTTACACAGCAACAGATAGCCAGAACATACAATAAAATGGGCTAATCTTAAGTGTATAGCTCTGCTCTTTTGCATATGTATACACACGAGTAACCACCACCTAGGTCATAAGACATGTTTCCAGAAGCCTCTCTCTGACCCTACCCAGACATTTCCCTCAATAAACATCCCCATCCTACCCCCACACAAATAAGAAACCAGTATCCTAGCTTCTATTATGATAGACAAGTTTTGTCAGTTCTTGAATTTCATGTGTAGGAAATCACATAGAAGGTACGCTCTAGCATCCAGCTTCTTCCGTTCAACATACTATCTGTGAAATTCATCACTGCTGCTGCACAGGGCAGTAGATGGTATGTTTTCATTGCTCTGAAGTGTTGCATTTTGTAAGTATACTACAATTATCCATTCTGCTGCTGCTGATGGATATTTGGTTGCTTCCAGTTTGGGGCTTTTATGAATAAAGCTGTTATGAACATTCTCATACATCTTCCTGGTGGACAAATGCACTCATTTCTCTTGGGTATATACCTAGAAGTAAAGTTGCTGGATCGCAGGGCAGTGCACTCATTTGGTAAAGTATTAGTTCATATTCCAACTACTCAAAGAATTGCTCATCTGGGCCACGTTATCATTGTTTTCTCCCCTATAACTAGCAAATATTGAGGCAAAATCATGCTGCATTAAATTAAGCAATTTATGATTTGTCCTTCCATATTGACCTTTCCTGACTAACTACACAATAGTATTGTTCTCAATGATGTCTACTGTCATGAACATGACATTGTTCTTGGAAAAATCCTATCAGGCAAAGTCAACCTCTAAAATAGCATTGTAATAAATATGCAGAAATGTCACTTTTTGCATTAGCCCAAAGGTTTTGTATAGCTTAAGGATACATGCAGTAAGCTAACTATAAAAATAGAAACTTGACAGTGGGGATGTATGTGTGTGTCAAAATAATATTACTCTTTCTGGGTGTATGGCAGAAAAAATGACACTACATCCACCAGCATGATTTTTATAGATCTGCCTCTTTGCCAGATGTCACCTTTTATAAACTGCTTTATAAAAACATGACAGTATAAGTGCAATAGTGTGTTTATTGCTTGATAAACTTTAGTAATAAACTTAGGATAGGTTGAAAATTAAAGCCTTAGAGCCTATTCATTAAGCATTTAGGACAAGTGAGTAAGCAAAAAATGCAAACTATTAAATCCTAAATGTATGCAGATCAAGCCACTAGCAGCAAGCACTATTTCTCAATCAGTATGTCTTATGGAAATATCTGCCAGTTTCCTTGTCATTGAGCTAAATGCATTACAGCCACATCTAAAGCATGCCATTTGCATTGCTACAAATTTGAATGAAATCCAGAATGTTACAACTGCCACAGGCTCACTCAAAACAGATTAAGTCTTTTTCAAAACTGTTCTGTAACTTAGCACAGCATATTTTACATATGGCAAACCATGGTTCCAACAACTACTTTTCTGAAAAGACTTGAAAAGACTTTAAGGAATTTCTTAAAATAATTTCATAGCACACACTCAATATTTTGATTACTGATGGATTATACACAGCAATGTAGTGTGGTCTGAGGACTTTGGATTACCTGCAGAGCTTGTTAAATAGAGCGATCCTGTAGTCCTTTCCTAATCGATTGAAATAAAATCTCTGGAACAAGGGACCCAAGAACTAGGATTTTATTAAGTAATTCCAAATGATCCTTATTCACAATAAAATGTGTTAACCATAGCTATACAGTAATCTAATAAAAAGAAACTTTACAGGAAAGTATATTGGCCCAGAAGGGTGTCATTTTAAGTGAATAATGTATTCTTACATTCTTAGGTTCAAACTGTTACTCAACATTATATTTTTAAAAATTCAAATGGCTTATATTAGTTCATATTCCTTTTTTTTCTTGTAGTTATGTATGAACACCCACAAAATAAAATCTACTTAAGAACTTTTGAAAATCAATCCCTATAACAAGTGCATATATAACTAAATTTTCCTGATGATTCTATTCATCCTGGACTGACAATTGTTATCTTTGTAATTGATAAATGAAAAAAGCAGTAAAATAAAACAATCCCTTTACCAAATGGTCTATTAGAATTCCTCTGATGCTCATCACATTTTTCCACTGCTTACTATTCACCCCCAGATCTCATAAAATATTTCAGTAGTTAACTACAGCAAAGCTACTAACATGCAGTTTGTGTTGGGTGGATCCTCACAAAAGTGATGCTAATATATTGGAAATATATATACATATATCATTATATATAATTATATATATCATTATATAATCATATAATATGTAATTATATATGTGTGTGTGTGTGTGTGTATATATATATATATATAATATTTTCCCCATTAACAAATCAGTGTGCCAACATGACAACAAGTAGGAGAGACTGTCAAAGCTTCACAGTTGCTACAGAACTCTAGTACTGGGAAGTACTAGTTCAAAATTCCATTCTGGGCAAGTTTTTCTTCTTTTTTTTTTTTTTTATTTTGAGACAGGGTCTCACTCTGTTGCTGAGGCTGTAGTACAGTGGTGCAGTCTTTGCTCACTGCAACCTCCACCTCCTAGGTTCAAGTAATTCTCCTGCCTTAGCCTCCCTAGTAGCTGGGACTACAGGTGCATGTCACCACACCCAGACAATTTTTATATTTTTTGGTAGAAACGGGGTTTTGCCATGTTGGCCAGGCTGGTCTCAAACCCCTCACCTCAAGTGATCCACCTGCCTCGGCCTCCCAAAGTGCTGGGATTACAGGCATGAGCCACCATGCCCCGCCCCATTCTGGGCATCTTAAACAAAAGCAAAAACAAAAAACCCTGAACACATCATGGTATAATGCAGTGATAAAGCAATGTAGGGCTTTTCTGGACATTAAAATGTTTGAAAATAAGCACCAAGAAAAAAATCACATTAAGGAGCAAAAATTACAGTAACTGCTTGCCTTTTTCTTTGGACATCAAAAGAAAGAACTAACAAAAGGAAAGTCTTGCTCGATTTCTGATCATTTTATTTATCTTATTGTGAAAGAAACAACACTGAATCAAGAGTGAAATAGAAATCAACCAAATGAAATGACAGCAAAAGTTGCAAAGAAAGGCATCTGGGGGGTGAAAAAATAAATGTTCCTTCACAGAAAGAAACCAGTTGTTTAAAAACAAAACAGAACAAAACAAAAACTTACAAAAACACAGAAATAGGTCAAGCAAATTCTACCCAAATCCCTCTTCCTTTGGGCCTTGTCACAACAAGTAAACCTCATCAGAGGGGTCAAGACCACAATGACTGACATCCTGATCATGTGATGTGATGGACAGAGAACTTGACTCCGAGTCAGCAGAATCGTATAGTCCAGTTTGACTTCAATACTCATTAATTCACCTTTTAAAAGTTTCTGACTCTCTGCATTCATTTTTGATTGCTGCTGTAACAAGTTATCACAAACTGAGTGGTTAAAAATAATACAAATATATTATCTTACAGTTCTGGAAGCCAGAAGTACAAAATCAGTTTCACTGAGCTAAAGTCAAGTTGTTGGCAGGCTGATTCTTTCTAGAGATTCGGAAGGAAGAATGGATTTCCATCTTTTCCAGCTTCTAGTGGCTGCCTATACTCCTTGGTTTGTAGTTCTTTCCCTCATCTCCAAAGTGCATCCTCCAGTTTCCGCCTCTGTTGTCACATGGCCTGCTCTCTGATTCTGACCTTCCTCCTGCCTTCCTCTTCTTACAAAGACACTATGACTACCCTGCACCCACCCACTTTATCCAGGATAACTTCCCCATCTTAAGATTCTTAACCTGATCACATCTGCAAAGTCCCTTTTGCCACATAAGGTAACATTCACAGGTACCAGGAATTAGGACATGGACATACTTGGGGGCCATCACTCAGCCTACCATAATCTCTTTGGATTTTCTTCTTAATACTAGTTCATTCTTTGTTCATTTACTCATCCACCCACCCACTCACCCATCACCCTCACTCTACAGGAGTTGGCCACAGCTTCCCGACTAGTATGGCAGAACAAAACGGTGTGTTGTAAACCTTCAAAGGATCTGCTGACAAGTTCTGATCAATATGTATAATTGATTTTTGCTGCAACAGAGTACACATTCTGACAGGGTGATGTTTTTAAGGGAAAAAAAAAAAACAACGAACAGAGTAGATGATGGAACGGTATATAGATTGGGATAACTGACTGCCAGTAAAAGGGCAGAGACATTGATTCACATTAAGGTGGGACCAAAGAAATGTATCAGGTTTTCTGGAATGTGCAGAACTGTGTTTACAGGAAGATACAGAAATTTGTCTCATGAGCACATAGAAGTCCGTGACCAGAACAGCAAACAGCCCAACTCAAACAGCAGCACAGCCACAATGAAACCGCACAAATAAAGTGATCACCGTGGAAGCTTCCAGAGACACTGAGGGGGGCTGTTTCTCCCCAGCAGTGGTTGCACTGTAATTACCATAGTTCGTTTGGGGTTGCCGACTTTTGGTCTTTTCATGCCAGGATGGACTCCTGGTTCTGAGGGTAGAATCATCTTTCTTTAATTTCATGGGAAGGGGTAGGGTAGGTGCCTACACAAAACAGGGTTTTATCAGGAAGAAAAACAGGAAAACGACCTAAGAGGATGCACAATAGCAGCTCTCACAAAACCGCAGTCACTGGGGGCTCTTTCAGTACCTCAATTTAAAGCGCTCCGTAGGATGACAACTTATATCTTAATTTCTCCCACACAAAATCCCTCTAAGGTGAGTTTCTTTAGGCACCATCCAGACCACATTTTAAGTTACACCATTTAAAATAAACTTTTTAAATTCAGAGAAAACTATCCAAGTACGTTGACACTCTTACGTTGTTTATGTATAAAAACAATTACAACGTTAAGCTTCCTCTTCATTTCAAATTTGTTTATTCTTACATAAGCTTCTAGACAAAAGCATACTCTCTGAAGGAAAACTGGGGCAGATGGGGGTGGCGCAGGATAGCGGCAGCGTTATTGTGACTAGGTGGTGGTTAAGAAAATATTTTCAAGACAACAACCTGAAAATCAGGCTTAAGTGCCAGAAGTAAACCAAAAAGAAGCAATAGCAAGTGACAAAAATGGCTAACTGGAGAGGAAAAAAAATAGGATTTCAATTAAATCATAAACGATGGCTAATAAAGTGCGTTTTAACAGCTGTAACGCTAAACATAATGCATCTTACTCTGTTTTAATTCAAATATTAATCCTTGTCCAATCACTGTAATGGGAGAAAAATGGTATGCTCTGAATGTCACATTCGAATTGGGTAGCAATTATCTTCCTGGTATCAATGTCAGACATTCACATAAATCTTTAAAAAATGATAAACTTACCCAAAAACATCCAATCAAATAAAATGAAAAGATTTCTATAAAACTTGTGCTATAATTTATTTAAAATTACAAGTAACATAAGAAAGATGGATAATTACAATTAGGGAGATATAAATTTGAAATGGAGGAACATATTAATATTTTAATCTTTCTGATAATTCTTTAAAATTACCTAATATTTTTATATCAGCAAATATTGCCTCAAGGACTCAATTGAAACCCAAATCGTAATGATCACTATTTAACTAATTTATTAAATAAAACATGTTCAATTGTACACTAAATCAAATGACATGGCCATCATAATGGCAGAGCTACAAATTTTAATGAGACTGAAGAAAACAGTAAAAGGTCTTTGAACCTGTTATCCATGTGATCACAGATACCGAAAACATGCTTGTTTCTCTCCTTTGTGGAGGCTCAGGGACTCCCCAACTCTAAGCAACAGTTATAATAATATTTACTACGTGCTTCCCACCCTGCGAAGAATGGACAGGCAGTATCTCATTACATTCTGACAGCAGGCCAGGTACAGTGGCTCATGCCTGCAATTCCAGTACTCTGGGAGGCTGGGGCAGGCAGATCACTTGAGCTCAGGAGTTCAAGATCAGCCTGGGCAACATGGTGAATCCCCATCTCTAAAATACAAAAAATAGCCAGGCGTGGTGGCATACACCTGTAGTCTCAGCTACTCAGTAGGCTGAGACAGGAGTATTGTTTGAACTCCGGAGGTCAAGTCTGCAGAGAGCCACAACTGCACCACTGTACTCCAGCCTGGTGACAGATCAAGACTAGGTCTCAAAAAACCAAAAAAAATTCTTATAGCCACCTAAAAGGTTATCTTCACTTAAGAGATGCATAATCAGGCATTGAGGGGTTACAAAACTTGCACAAGATCCCAGAACTAAGGGGCAGAGGAACTCCAAAGCCTGTAGGAGAACTGCTGAAATCTGAGGATCTCCTCTCTCTGTATATATTTAAAATATGATTTCTGTCTCAGTCTATTGAAGCTGCTCTATCAAAATGCCTTAAATTGGGTGATGTATAAATAATAGAAATTTATTTTTCACAGTTCTGGAGGCTGAGAAGCCCAAGATGAAGGTGCTGGCAGCTTCAGAGCCTGGTGAGGGCTTGCTCTCTGCTTTAAGATGGCGCCTTCTTGAAGCATCTTCAGTGGTAGAAGGGGCAAGGAAGCTCCCTCCAACCTCCTTTAAGAGGGTGCTAATCCCATTCATGAGGGCAGAGCCCTCGTGACTTAATCACTTCCCAGAAGGTCCTACCTCTTAATAGAATCATGTTGGGTATTAGGTTCCAACATATAACTTTTGGAAGAACACAAACATTCAGACCTTAGCAATATTCATCCATGCTTCTCAACTCTCATTTTACAGCAGAATTTCCCATGGAATTTTCAAGAAACACATTTGTCCAGGTACAGCCCATAGAAATACCGTGGGCCCAACAGCTTATTTTCATTATGCTTTTCTGGGCAATTATGATGCCTGCTCAATGTGTGGAACTCCTGCTCTGTGTATTTCAGGAGATCCTGGAGTATATTAGCACTAAAATGTCTCTTTTTCTAATAGTAGTACATCACATTGGTTTTATAAATACTTATAATACATGACATACTACAATGTGAAGGTGGTTTTGCATGTGTCATCACATGTGACATCCCATTAACTTACCAAGAGTCACAGGGAAAGACTTGTTATTATACCCAATTACAGTTTGAGTCAATAGGCACAAATGAATTATCAACTTTTTGACCTTGGAGGCCATCTCCAACTTTATATTACATAATCCTTTTGCTTTATTAACAAGAAGTCTAAGGTCCAGAGAGATTCACTGACTTTTACAGGTTCACCCAGTTGGTAAATAAGGGCACCGGACAAGAAAAACAAGAATTCAGCTCCCACAACTGATATGATGTGTTATTTGTAACACCTCACCCAGAATGTCTCCAGCCACCTTTCTTTGAAACCTGCACTTGCACTGTTAAACTGGGAAAAGATTAATAAGTACAATCGTATGATCACATGGGTAGTCACAACACTGTAATCTGAGAAATAATCATTATAGATGATAAAGAAAGAGGTAGAGGAGGAAGTACTATTTTTGTGCCCTTGATTATCACATTACAAAGACAGAAACTGCGACGACTATAAAAGATGATCAGAGGAAATGATATCCCAAATTTGAACCGTCTGAATTATGAAAAAAATACAATGTTTAACTAGAATGTTCCCTAAACATGTCACACTTTGAATAAAAGGAGCAGAAGGACTGTATAGAAGACTGGCAACAAAGACATACAGGAAATGTAAGATTCACTATTTAGGTATGAGTTTAGATTTTTTTGTATGGAAGTAGAGCATTCTCCCCACCCTTTCTCCTACTTCCAACTTCCTGCAAAAATCCTACACAGAGGCAAAATATATAAAATGTCTTAAAACCAAATTGTTAAGGCCCTGTCTCCTCCTACTGGGGCCCAAAGTACCTCCTCCCTCAAGGGGACGCAGGGCTCCCAGGACACCACCGGGAATCACTGTTTCACATTCATGAAATACGTAGTCAGTGATGATATCTACATAACGTCAAGCGTCTAAGTGCTTGACTAAATTTTCCCATTATTTTCACTTTGCCAACTACATGGATAATAAAGAAAAAAATGAGAATTTTAAAGCTAAAAGACTCCTACTGGCCAATTTTGAGTACTTCCTGAGGATGAGACACTTTCCACATAAGCCGGTTAGAGAGATCTCAGTGAGCCAGTGTCCCAACAGAACATGGAAAATGAAGCCCAGGGAGGTCATACAACCTGGTATATGGTACAACATCGCCCTGCAGGCTGGAAACAAGGCCAGGTCACACTGAGGTTTCCAGACTCCACAGGGAGAGGAGGAAATCCTAGGGAGCAGATCCCCATCTGTGTTGATCTTCATGATTTTGCTCACATCCCTGTGCCTCCTGTACTATCATTCCGGTCTGTCTTCTTTACATCTGCTCAGTTCCTCCTTAAATTACTTTGACTTAAATGGAAACATTCTATCTGTACCATAAATGGAAAACCAGTATCACTTGCCACAGATAGACAGCTAACCCTGTTAACCTTGAAACAAAAGGATATTAAACTGTAGCCGGAAGGGATCCCTGCCTGAGGCTCTGAGCCTGGGGCCTGCCCACGCTTTGTTATAAGGAAGATTAGCAAATACTAGAAAGGTGAGAAAGCTTCCCCCTGGCTAATGAGAAGGGTTGAAAGAAATGAAAGGGAATAACTTCCCAAGCTTGCCAGAAACACCAAGGTAGGGCAGTTTTTTTTAACCCTGCTTTGAGGTCTAGAATCCTTTGTTGAAATGAAATCTTATTAACAATAGAAGCAATAATGATGATGCTGATAAGAAACAGCTGGTTGTATTAGGATACACCAGGCATTCAAATACAAGTAAACTCAGTACTTAGAAGTATTAACTCATTTACTCCTCATTAACAAACTTGTGAGACACAGAAAGGTCAAGTAATGGGCCCCAAATCTCTCTGCTAGTAACAGCCAAAACCCTGGTCCTATAACCCCAGAGTCCCTGTTTTTAATGACCACCCAGACTGCCCCTCAAGATTCCAGTTACTAAGGCCGGGCGCGATGGCTCACGCCTGTAATCCCAGAACTTTGGAGGCTGAGGCTGGTGAATCATGAGGTCAGGAGATGGAGACCATCCTGGCTAACATGGTGAAACCCTGTCTCTACTAAAAATACAAAAAAATTAGCCGGGCGTGGTGGCGGGTGCCTATAGTCCCAGCTGCTCGGGATGCTGAGGCAGAAGAATGGCCTGAACCCAGGAGGCGGAGCTTGCAGTGAGCCAAGATCGCCAAGCCTGGGTGACAGAGCGAGACTCCATCAGAAAAAAAAAAAAAAGAATTCCAGTTACTAGCAACTGACAATAGAGTTGTGGTTGAAAAGGGATTAAGGAGCTAAAGTGTTATGCTAAGCATGGTTATGAACAAAAGGCAGAAAAAGAACAAATGCGTCCACTATATGGCTTGATTTGATTACTTGAAAATTATTCATTTGTTTTACTCTTTAGCTCTTTGCTTCCTTTAAGGTAATCACTTTTAACCCTCTTCTCATATTACTTGGCTGATGATATACCTTGGTGTACTGTTTTCTTTATTTGAACAAATATGGTTACTGTGCCAGTACCTTCAACAGATTCAAATCTTTTTAAGGGTAAAAAGGCTTTTCTATTTTTCTTAGACTACAAATAATGACTAAAGTAATTCAATGATAATGAGCATTCTAGATATTTCTGAAGGTTTCTGAAGGTCACACAAAGGTGACTGTTTCTACTGTGCTAATATATCCCTGGAATTTTCATTCTTAATATTTTCCAAAGAGCAGGTCAACACTTCACAGCAAAAAAACAGAGTGAAAGAGAAAACAATTTTTTTCATATTATTCATATATGTTTTTAATAGATGATTAAAGAAGAAAAACATACCCTGGAAATGTAGAAATATGAAGCCATGCTACATATTTTTATAATTATGTTTTATTGCGTTCTGTTAACTGGCCAGAGGGTTTTTAAAATGCCAAAAGATTCCAAATTAAATTACCATTATTAAGCCCCTTAAGCCTCATATTGAGTTTAGACTGTCACTAAAAACTTTTGATAAATTAAATAATATGCAGTATGAGTATTAGAGTTTGAAATGTTTAAAAGTTTCTTTACACATCTGTCAGCATAACCTAAGACATAAAATGGCTTACATACATTTTTTTCAATGATAGTGTTTTGTTTTCAATTTGTTTTTTAGAAATGTAATTAATGAAAGCTACAGAGCAATAATCTAGCATCTAGAAATGCCTTCAGAGTTGGGTTTTTAAACTCTTCTCTAAATTTATTCTGTTGCTAAAAATACATTCATTACATTTTTAATCTAACAGGTTTTAGTGAATAAAACAATGATGTAGATATAAAGCTAAATTTCTACAGTACAAGACATTTCAAACATCATAAACCAAGGCAAAAGAGGATTTACAATACAGAGTCAAACTACAATGGACACTTCAGAATAAAATTCAGTCAGTGTCCTCTGCCCTGCCAGCAGGGCATTTACTGTAGTGGAGAGGACCAGGAAGGAGATTCGCTTTATAGGATAATCATGTTATGTTATGCTTTTATTGAATGCACTTACATTTTGGACTACACAATTGTTCTTGAAATGTTTCCAAATGTGTGTAATCATGACCGACGTGATGGCAGGGATCTACTTAATTTCCGCATTCAAAGGGGAACATGATGCAAATACTATCAAGCGAGGGCACTTCCTGTCATATAACACAGAAGAGATAAGAACTTGACCATGAGCTGGCAATAAATTCATCAACATCCTAAACCAGCAGTCAGTCCCCAACCTTTCTGGTACCAGAAACTGGTTTCATGGAAGACAATTTTTCCACAGATGGGGGTGGAGTGGGGCTGGCAGGGGGGTGGTGATGGTTTCAGGATGATTCAAGTGCATTACATTTATTGTGCATTTTATTTATATTATTATTACATTGTAATATATAATGAAATAATTCTACAACTCACCATAATGTAGAATCAATGGGAGTCCTGAGCTTGTATTCTTGTGACTAGCTGGTCCCATCTGGGGGTGATGGGAGACAGTGACAGATCATCAGGCATTAGGTTCTCATAAGGAGCGGGCAACCTAGATCCCTCCCATGTGCAATTCACAATAGGGTTCACATTCCTATGAGAATCTAATCCTGCCGCTAATCTCACAGGAGGCAGAGCTCAGGCAGTAATGGGAGTGATGGGGGAGCGGCTGTAAAGACAGATGAAGCTTTGCTCAATTGCCCACTGCTCACTTGTTGCTGTGTGGCCAGGTTCCTAACAGGCCATGGACTGGTCCATGACGCAGGGGCTGGGGACCCCTGTCCTAAACCATGTTTGCTTCTGCCCCCTCACCCTTTCCCAGAGTGAATGGTAATTACTGTGTACGATATTTAAAAAATGGACGATGTCCCCTTAACAGTATTTTCTGCCTGAGTCCAGAGCTACTAGTAGTAGTGACTGCTGACTAAAGGATGAAGCTGGAGTAAAACCTTTCCTGTGCTGTGACCCACATCTCCCCATTGCTGAAGAAGAGAAATGTAAAAATGCTTTCTGGAAGAAGAATTTCACAAGGTTATGTTTTCCCTCAGCTTTCCATGATCACAGTAATCGAAAAATAACACTCTTAGTTTACAGATTTCAATTTGGCAGTATCTGGCAATGTTAATTATATAAATGAGAAGAGAGAGATAAGAGGTGGGAAACAGGAAGTGAATGCCAGGAAAATGAGGATCCAGGTCTCCTCCTCATGGAGGTCGTCCCCAGGCTTCCTGCACCAGTGACAGCACCTGCCAACCACAACATTTCCTAGGCTTCTTCCCTGATTTATTTTCTCCCTAGAGCTTACCCCTCTATAACACAGTCTATGTTTCATATTCCATCTTCTTCATCAGCTTCTTTATCCCCCACAACAAAATGTGCTCCACCAGGGAAGGGGTTTGAAGTTGTTTTGTTCACTGCTGTGTCCCCAGGACTGGATGACAGAGGATGCCCACCTTATTTACCAATATATTCCCAGCATCTAGTCCAAGGGTCTGTCACCCTTTTCAGTAAAGTGTCAGAGATTAGCTATTTTAGGCTTTGCAAGCCATACAATCTCTGCTGTGCAGCTACTTAGCTCTGACACCGTAGAGCAAAAACAGCCATAGCCAATAAATATATAAATAAACGGGCATGGCTATGTTCTAACAAAACATTATTTACAAAAACAGCCAGAGGACCAGATGTGGCCCAGAGCTATAGTTGCCAACTCCATTGTAGACCATGTCTTGCATATGGTGTGTGCTAAATATTTAATATTATGAATGAATGTGATAACTCCAAACCAGCCAACCCTCCTATTTATCATTCCAGAACAAAGAAGACTCTCATAAAAGACAACCACTACCAGATGTTTTAAGGTAACAGGTATTAAAAGCAGAATGGGTAAGTAAAACATAGAGTTTGTCCTCAGTGACTGGAGATGGTCTCTGCTGTCCTGACTAAATGACCTATATTAGGGTCCCAGTGGGAACCTAATTCAATTCAGATGGTTCAAATGAAGAGACTCTAATAAAAGGCTTATTAATGGAGGGGCTGGCAGGCGAAGGAAACAAGAAGGGAGGTGGAGGCACTCAGACAAGAGCAAGAGCAGGAGGTCATGGCATCCCTCAAAGGGCAAGGGGAGGCCACAGTGATCCCAGAGCCCTGTGAGAGCTAAAACATGGAGGAAGGACTATCAATGTCAAATGTAATGCTCACTCAATCAGGGAAGAAGCAAGAAAGAGAACCCCAACTTCCTTCTGCTCCAGTCCTCTGATTTTCAGCCTAGCCACCATGCTTGTCAATCCCAGATCCAATCCAACTGTAAGGGAGCACAGGCAATGTAGTCTATTGGAAAAGTTGGAAAGGGCAGGCACTGAACACAGAGTAAGGCAGGAATGAGCAGAGACAGGGATCTAGATGAGAGTGGCAGACTGAGCAACTAACACATGGATCAATTAAGATCAAAACAAAATCATTGTATTAGTTCATTTTCATACTGCTATGAAGAAACACCTGAGAATGGGTACTTTATAAGAAAAAGAGGTTTAATGGACTCACACTTCCACATGGCTGGAGAGGCCTTACAATCATGGAGGAAGGCGAAGGAAGAGTAAAGGCATGTCTGACATGACAGCAAGCAAGAGAGCGTGTGCTCGGGAACTGCCCTTTATAAAACCATTGGATCTTGTGAGACTTACTAACTAACAGGAGAACAGCATAGGAAAAACCTGCCCCCATGATTCAATTACCTCCCACCAGGTCCCTCTCACTACACCTGGGGATTATGGGAATTACAGGATAGATTTGGGGGGGACACAGCCAAACCATATCAATCATCCTACTGAGTACAGAAATGAAAACTTCAGATTCCATACACTTGACATAGATTACATAAAAGACCACCAATAATAAGATTGTGCCCCACCTGTATACAATGAGCTGTTCCAAGCCAAAAATGTGTCTTGATTAATGCTGTGGTCTTTACCAGGAGCAGTTTTCCCACCCAGGTCACAGTCTTCACAAATTGGAAGCAGCATTACCTCTAGAGTAAGCAATAAATGAAAATGGTGCCTTTAATTTCAAATTATAAGGTAACACACTGATGGATAACCATAGCATGATTAGTCGATTCAGGACCTCAATACACAATAGAAGAATCCATCCATTATCTGCTCAAAGTAATTCTTTCATCCCAGCAACTTTAACAACAACCCAGGAAAATTACTGTCCCTTAGCAAAGCCTTTTGAATTTCATATGGATTTAATTAGTTAACTGCCATCTCAAGGATGAGAACCATGACAAATAGTTGTTCTTTTCAAATTAGAAGAATAGACTGTTCAATGAGCAATATTGATGTTTCCCCTCACCTATTTATACAAGAGATTTTCTACTTTTTTTTTTCTAATTTAGCTAACCATTTTAACATTTATCGAAGCTTTTGTGATCACTGTTCTCTAGCTGAGTGTTCTAGCCATTAGCCATTAGCTTTAAAAAACAGCTGAAAGCAGCCTCCCTGTGTACAGAAAATACCGTGTTCCTCACTAGAGACCCCTGGCAATCTGAACCACTACTAGAGGATTCTAACAAGACATTCTTTACCAGTGGACAGAAAAGCAAATAGAGAATATTGTTCAATGAACAATGCAACTACTAATCATAACAGTGCTGTATCTTAACCTGTAGTCATGAACCTAACCCAGCTGCTTGAGGCAAGCAGACCCCTCTTTCTTTTTAACTGTGGAACAATCTATAGCATGGGAAATGGGTTAAGATTTGGAAAAGAAGTTAGGTGAGTAACTAGCAGCAGAAAGCCAAGCACCGTAAGACTCTACCTATTCCATCTGCATTCCTGCCTTTTCTCAAAAAGATCTCAAAGCAGAAAGAAGCAATCAGAACAAAGCCAGTCAGCTCTGGTAGCTTGCTCTTACCTCTATTCTAGCTACATGTCACCTCCTGTGAGACCCTCTGCCCCTCCAGACAGTTTAAGAAACTTCTCAGAAGACTAGACACACACTTTGTGGCTACTAGTGAACAATTTATATGTGTGTTTATATTTCTACAGAACTTTGAAAAAGACTTGCATCTATATGGTAAGTAAATGCTCCTGATGTAGAAAAAAGACAAACAGGAAAGACAAAACCATTTTATTTGGTATCATCAAATTAAAAATTAATTGCCCCATATGTTCAAATAATAACTTATAGCCGATTGTGGTAATCCAACATATTGGATGTTGGCTTTCATGATCTCACCAATACATTTAGCAAATGGCTGTGGAATCTGGCAATAAAATATTTCCAGTCTCTAAGTCTTCTTGATAATTCACTCTGTGTTTTACAAACAACTGGGCTCCCGGGATTCTAAGCACATCACTCAGACTGACAGAGCAAGTATTCCAGACAATTGGTTCCTGGAGGGTCAAGACAGCAATGCTCGATCAGGATTCAAACGGGTCATAAACCCTTCATGGATCTCTCTCAAGTGGGTGGTGATGTCTCCCTAGGGCTGCTCATCATTTGCTGCTACAGTCAAGCACTTGTCATTATAGACAAACACCCCATCAGTCTTAGGTCCTCATCCAGCAGAGTCTTACTGCCACCGGTGGAGACAACCACCGGTATAAAGAAATCCAAACAAAAATTCGGCATGTGTGCCCATCCAGGCATGACTGTTCACTGTGCATTTCACTTCTACGTCTGCACTTTCAGCATGGCCACGAAACTCAGCACCTGTTTATCTGCCATGATTTCAGGCATCCAGATTGTTCTGGAACCATATATATCAAAAGCTCTAAAACACCAAACCCGTTTCTAGAAATTTATCCTAAGGAAATAATTGGACAAATGCCTAAAAGATGTATGTACAAGGTGGTTCCCTGCTGTGTTCTTTACAGAAGTGAAAGACTGGAAATGCATCAATCTCAGTTTGGTTGTCTACAGAACGGGATTGCAAAATCTGATTTACACGTGTTACAATTACATCTTGTCACCTAATGCCAGGAGCAGACTATATATGGCTTTAAGCTAAAGGAACATCAAAGTCATGAGTGCCTTGGAAAACAGAGACAGGAGTGTGCATATTTTAAAGCAGAAGCTCCCAACCACAGTCTTGTTCACATCCCTCAGTTCTTTGAAAGGCAGCCAGACCTCCATTTCTAAGGGACAAATGTGACCACAACCTCTCCCTTTTCAAGATTCTTCCAAGGCTTCCTCCTGTCACCAGAATCCCCTGCATATCTTAGCGTGGAGTTGAAGGTCTTGTGCAATCTTAAGTCCAACTCACCTACTGCCACTTTTCTCCTCACCTACACTATGCTCTAGACACTCTGGATTTCATGAAGTACCCTTACCTCCAGGCCTGTGTACATGATGTTCATCCATTCTGCCTGGAATGCCTTTCTTTACTCATCCATCAGCTTAGCTAGCCTCCTAGTTTCTTGCACCTCTCAGTGCCCTTTCCTGATTTTTTTTTCCATTCTTTCCATGGGTGGATATAGGTTCCCCTCTCCCCACATGTCCCTAAGTGCCAAGTTTCATGTTTCCTCTATACATTATAACTGCCCTTTTCATATCTCTTTCCCATCAGACCTTAGTCACCTTGGGGTCAGGAACTTTGGCTTATTCATGTTTTAGATGACAAAGAACACAATTTTAGGCAATCTCTAACTCTGCCCTCATGCCTGCCCTAGGTTGGGAAGACTTGGTAGCTTCTTTGTCACTCCAATTCTTTAACATAGAAATATACTCGGTCCGGGTATGGTGGCTTGCGCCTGTAATCCCAGCACTTTGGGAGGCTGAGGTGGGTGGATCACCTGAGGTCAGGAATTCAAGACCAGCCTGACCAACATGGAGAAACCTCGTATCTGCTAAAAATACAAAATTAGCTGGGCGTGGTGGCGCATGCCTGTAATCCCAGCTACTTGGGAGGCTGAGGTAGGAGAATCACTTGAACCCAGGAGGTGGAAGTTGTGGTGAGCCGAGATTGCGCCGTTGCACTCCAGCCTGGGCAACAAGAGCAAAACTCTGTCTCGGAAAAAAAAAAAAAGAGAGAAAAGAAAAGAAATATACTCTACTGACACTCCAGGAAGCATGCCCTAAGATCTGTACCTCATGATTCTCCCACATTATTAAGGTACAATTGTCCTGAATGCACTTGTCCTTCCTCACCATTTCTGTGTACCATGTACACAAAAATGAGGGGTGTATCCAACAAGGGAGCTGCAAACTAGAACAAGTGCCACTAGATTCTTTCATTAATGCTAATTAAATATCTATTCTATACTAGGTACTGTCCTTAGCTCTTTACATATATTAATTTATTTGGTATTCACAGCTACCCCAGAAGCAATGTCCTACTATTAACCTCATTTGAGATATCAGAAAATGGTATGAGAGAGGTTAAGAAAATTTTCTACTATCTCAAAACTCCTAAATGATAAAGCCAGAAGTTGAACCCAGGTAGCCTGGCTGCAGCATCTGTGGCACTGCTGCCTTTCCAACCTACCCAAGATGACTGAGCCTCTGGCCTGATCAAGGAGGTATGCTTGGCTATAGAGTATCTGCTCAGACACTAGAGTATCTACGATGGAGGAAAATTCGAGCAGACAGTATCATCACAGAAAGAAACTGATTATGAATGAAGAACGAGCTAGGTGTCAAATGGACATGCAGCAACAGAAATAGACAAACTAGCTGGATCATTCTTTTCCCCAGAGGGCTGTGGGATCTAGGAATGGGTGTTAACCATCACACTACTTCTGAATCTCATATACACAGGTGGAACCTGTGGGAACCTCCAAAAGACTGATTTTCCCTCTTAATGCTATTATTCTGTCCCTAGATGTGAAAAGGCAACTATTTTGGGGAGAATCGTTTTCAACAATATGAGGCTTTATATAACCAGCTTCTACTCTTCTGAGCCATCCCTTCCTTGATTTCCCCCACCACTCCATCCCTATCACAACCAAGAATTTGTTCTCCAGAAACAAAGATGACAGAAATCAAGTTAGGGACATAGAGATGCTATCACAGCCAACTCAGAGGAAGATTTTTGCCCTCCCTTATCTCAAAACCTGCATTGGCCGACATTGTGTCTGCTCCTAGACACCACTTAACGAAAGACTTTAAAAACTTTAGGAACAATTTATTTAAAGAAAACTCCATTTCCAGTATACTATGACTGTATTCCAAGGTAATAAAGTATAAATGAGAACAAGGAACAAGCTAATAAACTGAAATGAAGGCTGCATTTCAATAACAAGGTTTGGGAGCCATTTACCAGCCACGTGTATCTCACTCTCATGACTTATAACATTGGCTGAATTACTTAACAGAAATGAAAGCGCATATTGCTTCTGTTATCCAATGCTGAACAATGTGACATTTGCTTCAGAGCACTTGTATCTAATCGATACATAATGCTAAATGTGATTTAAAATCAATTTAATTGTGCTCTTGCTCTCCCATGAGTCAAGGGGGAAACAAAGGTATCATTTGAGATATGAAACCATTAGGCTATTTCCCAAAGAAATCATAGATCCCTTGCTTCTAATGGAGCCCAAGAAGTAGATACAGTTAGTTTACACTAAAAACTCCACATGTGAAAAACAGTATTGCTGAAACAGTTAAGATACTGTGCCCTAAAAGGCATATTTGAACTGTTTTTTTTTTTGAATTACAAACCAATTGAACTTTTAAAAACTTCTTTATTTGTTGTGACCTTTCTACAAATTATAGCAAATTTAAAAAGAAAAAATATAATTAAGAAAAAAACATAATATTGCATGTCATATATATACTTACTTTCCTAGATTACATACTTTTAAAATATCTGTATTCCTACATATTGAAACCAACCAAATTGTCCCATAGAGCTAATGTGTATGATTTATTTTAATAAACATAGAAATTGATTCTCCCAGTCTTAAAACATGAGAAAGTTATGTTTGTCTTTTCTGAGTTCCTTTCTCAAGAAACCAACCGTCAGGCCTCCCAGATAGGATCAAGGAGCTGAAACTCACCAGATTACTGTATTTGGACAATGAGATGTCAGATCCCTCACCCATCATGATTGCCTAACAGACCACCTGCTTCCTGTTGATCAACTTCTCTCCCTTACCCCTCCCTAATTCCTGTTTTCCTACACATGGTTACATTTCTTCTCTGCCTACATAAACCCCTCATTTTAGTCAGTGAGAGAGATGGGTTTGACACTGACTTCCCATCTCCTCAGTTACAGCATGTGATTAAAGCCTTCTTCCTTGGCAATACTTGTTGTCTCAGTGACTGGCTTTCTATGAAACAAATGGAAGGACCTAGACTGAACCCCTGGTGTTTCAGTAACCATGTAATATTTTCTATTATATTGTTTCTCTGAAAATAATTGTATAGTTATATGCTGAGCCAATCCTGAGTGTGTACAAAGATTTGGACTTGGAGTCACTTCTAGCATCCATCTGCCTGACCAACAGTTACTGAGTCCCCAGTTGGCACAAGGTTGTATTACTTATACTCAAGGAAATGAGGCTCAGACCAATTTTAAAGGAGCAAATTCAGGACTCAACTAATAATACAAGAGTCTCTAGACTTTACTTTATATGAGGATGTTTAAACAATCCAAAACAGTCAGTAAGTTCCACCTGAATTGCAGTACTTGGGTTGAGTGTCTCACTTTTAAAAACTGATGTATTGGCCAGCACAGTGACTCACACCTGTAATCCCTGCACTTTGGGAGGCCAAGGCAGGTGGATCATCGAGGTCAGGAGCTCGAGACCAGCATGGCCAACACAGTGAAATGCCATCTCTAACAAAAATACAAAATATTAGCCAGGTGGGGTTGTGTGTGCCTGTAATCCCAGCTACATGGGAGGCTGAGAAAGGAAAATTGCTTAAACCCAGGAAGCAGAGGTTGCAGTGAGCTGAGACCACGCCACTGCCCTCCAGACTGGGCGACGCCTGGGCGACAGAGAGAGACTCCATCTCAAGAACAAAACCAACAAACAAAAAAACTATATATTGATTAAACGAACTATCTGTGATTAATGTACAGCCTGTGTGTATTTTTTTTCTACCTGCATTCAAGAAATTGTATGGCTATAGTATATAAGAAACAGAATCTTTTTAAATTATTTTCCTAACAACAACTGAAAATAGTCCCATACAATGTACCCAACAAAACTTCCTTTTTCAAAATTTGCTTTAAATGGACAAAATTATGTAATAGTGAAGTAAACTTTTATTAAAAAGACCAAATTACTAGTTGAAGTTAATTGGGATAGGGTTGTTTTATAACACTATAACAAGGACATTCACACAAGATAATCTCTGATTTGTAAAGGAAAAAATAAAGTAGTTCACAGGAAAATAGTCAATTTTATGGCTCTTGTGTTTAAATAGAGGGAAGAATGTCAAAATTCCTATAAACTTAAAATTTAAAATATCTTCAGAAGTTGCCACAACTTAAAAAAAACTTGAATTGCACCAAAAATATCTAGAAAAATTTTAAGCAGTAAGTATATTCTTATAAACATCCCCATATTATTGTACCTTGTCTTCCCCCTTGACCAAGGTTTTAGACTAAATTCAGTTGACAACAGGTAACATAGCTGATAAACTGAAGATCTCTGCTTGGCATTTGATAGTTCATCATTTACATGGGCAAACAACCCACATAAATTCAAACACTATGATTCAAACATACAGATTCAAACACTATGCCAGGAATGAGCATCTACAGTGTATGCGGTTCAGGAGGGTAACCAATCACCACACATCATCATTGGGTACTTGATACAGGGTTAGCCCAAATCGGGTGCTGTGTTAGATATGTCCTGGATTTCAAAGACTCAGCACACACACACACAAAAAAGTAACACAAAAACCTCTTGTTTTTATATTGACCACATTTTAAAATTTATTAGATATATTGGGTTGGATAAACTATATTAAATTAATTATGCCTGTTTCTCTTTACTTAAATGTAAGAATTACTTTGGTGACCTACTTTCTATTAGACAGTGCTGGTAAAGAACTTAAAAAAAATGGTATGCTCCAAGTTACCACTAAGAAAAATTTTTAAAAATACATTAAATTACCAATTACATTTTTTTCTCAGATGAAACATGCATATGTTAACACAGAACATATTCTGACAGATCTGACAGAAAACATGAAAAAGTGTGCTTTCTATCATAATGATTATTTTTCAGATAACAACAGCTGTTGGCCTGTACAAGCAAGAAGCTGTTTTTCCACATACTACCAAGTATTAGCATTCAATCATGAAAGAAAACTAATTCTCCATGGGCTCTCTCCACATGCTTTACATCAGCAGCAAGCTGTGCACTCCTATGTAATCTGAAAAGCCGAACCAAGTTGGGGCTGCTTCTTGGCTCACTGCTTTGCCACTTCTCTCTAATATGGCAAATACAAAGCACTCACATTTTGCTGATTCAGAAGTAAATGAAACATTCAAGACCTGCACAAAAACCCTGACCAAAAGGAAGTCTCAGACAGGTGAGCGCCATTTTGGCTCTTCTTTAGTTACAAAGGAGATTAAAAGTAATCAGTCTCTTGAATGCCTATGAAAAGAGTGGTTAAAAGTCAGCTGTTAAAGAATGGCTTTATTCTAGAACACTTGAACATAGCCCAAATTTTGGAACTTGAAAATAGTTTAAAGTTCCCTTATAAATTTCAAGATCTCATTTATCACATTTTGTGCTCAAGAATCACCTCAGCTGCCAAAATCTAAATAGATCTGTGCTATCCAATATGGTAGCCACCAGCCACACATGGCTATTTAAATTAACAAAACTTTAGTTAATAAAAATTGGAAATTCAGGTCCTCATTGTCCATGACCACATGTGGCTACTGGCATAGTAGACAGAACAGTGGAGAACATTTCCAGCACTGCAGAAAGTTCCGTTAGACAGCATTGAATTAGATAATAACATACAGTAAGTTAGCAATTCAGAAAACTTAAAGAGAGAAGCAAATAGGGCAGAGGAAGGCATGTGACTAGAATGCAGACTAAGACTATTTAAAAAAACTCACTGCAGTTGCATTATGTCAAAGTAAGCAAAAAAAAAAAAAAAAGTTCTTTGTCAGTTTGATGAGTGTATCTGTTATGCTTGAAGATGTAGACAGAGAGAAAATAAAATCAGTGGACAGAAATTTCATTTATATATACTGGTTACGTACTTGCCACGACCACACACAAACTACAACACAGACCAAAATTCATTACTGATGAATTATGGTTTTGCTTTTCTACAAGACGGAGGTAAGCTTGGCAACATTTATTCTTGGGCTAAGTTCACAATTGAGACAACAATTCTTTCCTTAATGTGATAAATTATGCTGCTCTACATTAGGGAATGCATACTTTTTTATCGAAAGGTAGGAAAAATCGCAAGGTGTGCCTTCTCTATTTTTTTTTTCCGCCCACTAGGAAGACATGAAGTTCTATCAGGGAGTTAAAACAGTTAAATAATGGTTAAAAGCCTGCTTCTGGAATCTGAAAAACTCGGTTTCGTGGCTTTACTACTTTCTAGCTATGTAAGCATGTGTTCTGACTGTCTCCTCATCTCTAAAATTTAAATGAAGTAATGCCTGAATAATTCTTGGTACACACCATTTCTAATTAAAGGGATGCTTAATGATGCAATCATTCTTCCTTTGCTGCTAATTACTAATTTTGAAATACATGTTATGTTTTGTCATGACACATACAAATAAGCATAACTTAAGTGACAAAACCATAAACCTATGGCAAAAATACCACAGACCACTCATATCCCTCAGAGGCTTTCATGGTGGACAAGTTAGCCGTGCTGTCTCGTACACCCCACTGCACTGAGTTGCTTTGATAAACTGAGTTATGATCCTGGGAGAGAGTACTGAAATAAGACAGACACACTAAAGGCTTCTGGGAAACCACATGACATACAGGTGTACCTGGGGTTTCCATAAAGCCCAGAGATGGCAGAGAAAGACTCTTGGGGGACTGGAATGTCTGAAAATCCCATAAAGAAAACAGTTTGCATTCCTGGTCACTGGGTACAATCAAACTCAGGAAGTACTTTGTATGGGCACCGAAGTGTATCCTGGAATACACAGTCACACATTACTATCAAGCCTGGGCATTTTTACCAGTTCGAAAAATCGAACACCCAAGTTTCCATTTGTAAGGTAATTTTTCAAATAATGTTTCTTTTCGAATTTTTTTTCCCATTTATGTAGAGACCTTGAGAGAAGTGTCATACCTGAGATGCAGCAGGGGACAGGATGGAATGCGTTTTCTAGAGAATCTTCCATAAAGGGAAGCATACATATATTCTGCATCACTAAGATTAATCAGAAGAAATTGCTCAAATTCCACCACATTCCACTTTAAGACTATAGCTTTCCCATTAATCGCTACTAGCCCGAAGACCTGTCCAATGCTATAACAGTGTATGATAAAGCATATATACCTGATTTTTCACAATCATCTATACCACAAAAACTCTATTCCTGTAAATCATCTAATTATTTAGAGATCCTATTTATTTATTTACTTATTTATTTGAGACAGGGTCTCACTGTGGCGCCCAGACTCGAGTGCAGCGGCATGATCTCCACCAGGCCTTGGCTTCTCAAAGTTCTGTGATTATAGGCATGCGCCACCATGTCTATGTCTGGTCCCAGTATTTTATTTACATCCATAGTATATATGTCAGATTGTTTCTTATACCTAGAATTGATAGAAATCCTTTATCACATGCTGCCTTCCAAAAAAGAGTTCAAAAAGCATGGTTACCACATAAAGACTTGCAGTTACTAGACCACTTAGATGTTGCCTGAGAAAGATAGAGCACATGTGGTTTTCTGCATGGTATGACATATCTGAACAGCACCAGTGAATACAGAAGACCATGGCACATAATGGTGGTACTGTGATGGGGAATAAACTGCCTATTTATTTATTAGAGCACATAAATTACCAACTGATACGCAAAACACCAACTGCAAATTAAGCCTTCCCTCAGAATTAAAGAGAAAAGAGGCTGGGGAATGGAAAGAATCAGATGGGCCTGCCTCAAACCTCAGCGCACTACTTAATAGCTGCATGACCTCAGTTTCCTTAACCCTGAAATAGACATAACAAGGCCTCCTTTACAGACTTAGTGTAAAGGAGGGGACCCACAGAAGATACCATCTGGCATATAGTTTGTAAAACTTTACATTTGCTATTTCTGTTATGTATTTATGAATATACACATATAATTTTATGATATCTATTGCTATAATATATGCAATATGTAAGTATGTATGCACATATGCATATGTGTGTTTATATATAAAATGAGTGATTTTTGCTCTTTGATCTTCAAATATTTTCTTTGGATGTCAATTTTTCTTTCCTTTTTTTTCTTTCTTGATTTGGATCTCAGGATCCAAAAGTAAACTAACTTTCCTAAACCTCTTCAGTATTAAAGAGAGATTCATTTTGAGCCAGCACACTATATTTCTAGTCCATATCTGAATCCATATCTGAAACAAAGACCACGTCTAAAAGTAATACTCTTATTTCTAATTCTCACCTAACACACCCATGGAAGATAAGAAAATTAACTTACCAGGCAGCAGTAACTTCTTGGAATTCTATGCTCACACTTTGCTCAGCACACATAGGCGTTCTGTTGACAGTTGGCTCTCAACACCTCAAGTACGTGTCAGAGGGACGCGAGCCGATCAGTTTACCCAAGCTCCTTACTTATTCTCATTTACCCTCTAGAATTTTATTTCCTGCCTCAGAAAGAAGAATCCCATCTGCCAGAAGGAAATATTTGTAGCCAACATGACAAAAGTGGAATCCCTATTTTGTAACAGCTGTGAATCAAAACACTAGTGACTGAAATTAACTACATCGTGCTTCGGAACAGATGTGTGCACAGAAACCAACTCAAGCTCTGGTGTTCCTGGGCACCATGTGTAAATCATCCACAGACAACACGGTGGGCCATGTTCTCACCTTGTTGCTATGCACGCTCATTTTTAATGTTCTCCTGAACCATTGCAGACTTTGAGATTTTTTTTTAAAGGCTTAGAATCTTTATTTCCAAAAGAGGAGATTCTGAAAGTTGCCAATCACTCACTGGAAGACCTAACTAAACAGATGGGTTTTGACACCTCTGGTTTGATTTTAAATGCAAACATGTCAAATTATGCTCTGGCACAGGTTCTTCTGCCTCAAAATTTTATGGAGGGGTGTTTAATTTTTTTTAAGTTTTCTTCTCTGAACTCAGTTGTTCCACCATTAGCAATTAAGGCAATAAAGGACTTATTACAGAAACAGTGATATGATTGCTGTATTTTAATGCAGCAGCCTTAAGTAATTGAAAATCATTACTAAAAACTTTAGGAAATAAATTTCAAGAACAGACATCTGCAAATGAAGTTGAAGGTAAGGTCACATTTTTATATAAATAGGAAGCGAGAAGAAAAACATATGGCTTTCTTTGGTGACTCTTCCCATAATCAACATACATGTATTATCTCCTACAACCGAATTAGAAGTAAGTGGTACATTGCCTCTGATCACTGTTCTTGGGAGCCCATGGCAGACAATGGTAATCCACTGCAGCCCTTCCACCATCCATGCCCTTCAGATGCAAAAGACTTGACTAGCTGCTCTGAACAGATACAAATCAAGGGAGGACTTGAACTTCAGACAAGTAACTATATGGTTAGAAAGATTAAATATACACAAATGTAATCACTTGAGAACATTTTAAGCAACATGTCAGAATATGCAAGACGATGGGCTGCAGGATAATTAATTATTGAGAATATACAGTTGACCCTTGAACAACACAGGTTTTAACTGTGAGTGTCCACTTATATGAGGAGGACTTTTTTCTTTTTTTGAGACAGAGTCTCACTCTGTTGCCCAGGCTGCAGTGCAGTGGCGTCATCTTGGCTCACCACAACCTTTGCCTCCCAGGTTCAAGTGATTCTCTTGCCTCAGCCTACCAAATATCTGGGACCATGCCTGGCTAATTTTTGTATTTTTAGTAGAGATGGGGTTTCACTATGTAGGCCAGGCTGGTCTCTAACTCCTGACCTTGTGATGCGCCCATCTCAGCCTCCCAAAGTGCTGGATTACAGGTGTGAGCCACTGCACCCGGCCTATATGAGAATTTTTTTTAAATGAAACATGGATTAATAGTATAGCATTGGGGAATATGATACCTCCATATTTGGATGGCTGACTTTTGGTATCTGCAGATCCACAGAGCCAAATGCGGGACTTGAGTATTCACGGATTTTGTTATACGATGAGTATATCCTTGAGTACACAGAAGGATGACTGCGTTCTCATTCCACCGTGGGGGTGTGTTGTTTTGAGCTGGATATATCCACACAGCACTTTAGTTTGTAAGGTATACCTATATTAAGCCTCATCGTTGCATGTATTATTTTGTAATAATATGTTGAATTTATAATTTTAAAGGGTTAAATAACCAGTACAGTTTAAAAATTGAGTAAATAAAAACTGAGAAATTAAAATCTGTTCAAATAAGCACTGCATTTAAAACCCATAGATACACAAACTCTACAGAAGCCTGGAGAACCAGGCCCACGTGGAGACAAAGGCAGGATTGAATGAGAAAAATGTGTTTCTATCACAAATCATAATTACTTGTAGAAAATCTTTTTACTGCGTTCTAAGCTCTGTTGGGATCCATGCCTTGAAGGTAACACACCATTGGTTGCTTTTTCCTGCTCTCCCTCTTGATTTTTTTTTTAATAGACTGAAGGTAGGAAATGCTATATGCTTATCTCTGAGAAGATGCCTCTATGTAGTCTCTCTGCTTTATAATTAGCAACAGTCTTTCCCAAATTCTACACTTAGATTGACTTCCAACTTAACAGATGTTACAGTGAATTTCTTTTTTCTTTTTGTGTCTTCATGGGTATTTTAGTGCGAGGTAACCAAAGGCTGTGTGTAAGGCTACCAGGGAAATATTCGCACCGCCTGGGTCAGAACCCTGTACGTGGCATGGGTCTTAGTAATCTTGCAGAATTTTGTTCCTTAGTTCAGCCAAAACGAGGTTCTTGTCACATGACCAGCGAGGATTAGAAACGTGGACACATTGAAGGGTAAGGGAATTGGAATTTATTGGGTGAAAAAGAAAAAAGAAAAAAAACTCTCAGCAAAGCAAGAGGGGATCCTGCTAACAGGCCATCACCTCACACATTGAATTCCAAGCCATACACAGGACCTGAAGATGCCAGGCTCCTCCCCACTGCACAGGAGGTGAACTTCCCCTGGCTTCACCCTGTTCTCCCAATAATGTGAGGGTGGGTCAGAGATTCTCCAGGACCCTCCTTTTATCTGCATCCTGCATCTATCAGTAAGTAGTTATTGAATACACAATTGCATGAGCAATGTTTAAGGAGCAGAGAGAGCTCTTTGCATAGCATATCAGGCAGCTGATCACTCAATAGGATTTAAAAGTCACTGAATAGACTGCTAGGTTCCATAGTGTGGCAGATATAACACAGGGTCTGAGATTCTCATCCTAGGTTTATGAATGTTTTGTGTTTGGACACCAAATTCTGATTTTAAAAAGATTACTGTGATAAAACCTATTTAACATAAAATTTACCATTTTAATGTTTAAATATACAGTTTGTGTCTTTAAATACATTCACATTATTGTGAAGCTTTTAATAGATTGAATATTCTTCTCTTCTGATCAACAGCAAGATGATTTACATAATTCTGTAAAACTATGAGTTGGCCCATTCCCTCAAGTAAAGCATGAAGACTTAAAAGCAACATGGAACACAGAAAGAGAAAAAACTTTGAGCCCAACAAGATTTTGGCTTTGAAAGAGAAGTAAGATGTTTAACTAAGACTCAATGGAAGGAAAAATATTGTCTGGAGATACTGAAAGTTGAGAATTATAAAGAGTGATTACAAATGCAGAAGGTAAAAGTATTGGAGCAAAAATTGGAAATCTGCTCACATTTACTGGCTTTTTAAGCAAGTTCTATCATAGAGGATCTCTCATCCAACCTTCCCAAGGAATTTGTCATCACTCTAATCCACAGCTAATTTTGGCACAGAAATTATATTAGTAAACTCAGCCATATTGTCTTCTCACATGAAGACAGGACTGATGTCCTCTAAATAAAAAATTAGAGTCTATAGCGATTTGTTTACAATAACAACTGATAGTTACACCCCAGGGATCTTCTTTTTGCATATCCTGGTTTTTAATAATGAATTATACCTTCTATACATTCTTTCAAAATGTAAATCAATATACTAAAAAAACTACAGAATAAGTCAACATAAATTGCCCTGTGTGAGGGTGCCTAGTAGACCAATACTAATATTTTGGAGGAGATTTCTACTTTGTAGAATCTACTGAGATTCTGAAAGCTGCCTGCAATTCTGCAAGTGTAGGGAATGGGGGAAGAGACAGGGCAGAGGAATGAAGCAATGGACTTATCTAATCAAAAGCCTGATTAAAACACTCCCTAGCAGTCTCTAAGATAGAACTATAGGGAGGCAGCAGGCAATCAAAAGGAAGAGGTCCAGCTATTTAAGTATAGCTCATATCTATTCACTCCGTTGTTTGATTAGATTTTTACCTGTACCAAGTCTATGTAGGTATGATGAAGAAAGGTGGTGTATTAAAGATGAGGAAAGGTGGTGTATTAAATATTCCTAACACCACTTTCCCCAGATATGCTACTAATACCACCCCAAATTTTCCACTACGCTTTGCCATCATGCCCTTTGAAACCTAATTAATAATGTTTCATTTTTAAGATGATAGTCTAGGCTGCAATTTTAAATTGGTAAGACTAATATCACTATCTATAGTAGAATACCTCTTTCCTCCACCCACATTCTGATGCACTGTGGATACATCTGTCCACAACAAGAGATTAAACCATCCCTTTCTGTCTTTACTTCTCCTTTAAAAGCCCTGGACTGTCTTAATTTTTGACAGAAACTAACTTCTTTCCCAACAGTGGTGGACTACTAGAATTCCATGAAGCATGCTTTTGGTGGCTCATGTTGTAAAAATCATGTATCACTTTCTCTTGTGACCTGTCATCAAATGTGACATAATTTAATGCAACAGCTCCAATTTTAAGGATGGCATTTTGCACTTTGCTTTCAAACTCTATGACTACAGTTATCCAACAGAAGCTGGCCGACCTCAGTGGAACAGACGGGGATCTGTTAACAGGTTGCCAACTTTAAATTACTGCTGAGTAGCTTAGCATATCTCTAGAATAATTCCTTTAAAAAGTAATTAATCATTATTTCAAAAAGGTCTTCAGTGAAGTGTATTTTCTATATTTTACTGATGGGTAGCATTTGATTGGAAACAGCTAATACTTCTCCATTCTCTGTCTTGCATTTACATTTTTACTGTTTTCAATATTGCTGTTTTTGTTTGATGACAACTAGGGACAACTCAGGGAGCAGACTGAGATGCGTCCAACAAAGAGAATATGAATAGCAATCTAGAAGAGTGAACATTAGGCAGCTAATGCATAGAAATACTTGTATTTTGTATCTATTTTCTCCATATTTCAACTGAAGATTCTTGCCTCATGTTGGAAACAGATTGAGAAAAGTCACTCGTGTCAGTACTACAGAGAACACATTCCATGAGCCCATATCTTCAGCAATGTGTTTGCATCCTAGAAATTATTTCAGATTATGCTCTCTCTTGAGGCCATAAAAGGCAAACACTGGAGGAGGAACAGTGAGGAGAAACTACATAAATAGCTACAGGCTGTATTTTAGAGACGCCTCCAAACTTGTTAGAAGATAACGTGTTGACTTTTAGGGTTTGTCAGGAAAGTTAATAAAGCTAGATTTATAAGTATCTTTCAAGATTTTTTTTTCTAATTGAAAAATAAGCCACACGAAAACTGTATTCTAACACTCTTTGGAAACTGGTATCAAATCAGTCCATCACCCACTTCAAAGAATTTTATTAGCCAAGATATCATAAAAGTCTACATTTTAAGATTTTTTCTTTTTATCATAAAAAATTTCAAAGACATAGAATGATATAATGAATCATTTATACCTCCACTATCACTCACAAAACTATTTCAAAACAAATCCCAGATGTTACTTAAGGCAATGTCATTAGCAAATTTCCCTTTGTATAAACACTATAAATTGCTTTAAAGTAAACTTTATGAAAATCATATGCTTTATTTAAGATTAGGAACATCCTAATCCCTTTTCCCCATACTTCACAAATTTTAAATCATTTGTGTCATACTGGTAATGAACAAATTACTAAGTGTGTACAACAGAGATGATATATGTTGTCCTCCTATTAGGGACATCCAGTACGTGTCCATGACAAGTATTCCCCTGGATCTTACTACAGGTCCCTGTTGAAGCTGGGCAGGGCCTCACAGTGAGTTCCAACACAGCACACCAGGTAACACTAACTCATCAATTAGAGACAGCATGAGAACTACTGACCTTCCTGGTCTACAGCTTACTGTCAAGGAATCTCATAGCCAGGAATAAGCTTCTTTACCAATTCCTGCTATTGTTAAATACCTACAATCACACTGTTCAACTAGGAGGAGAACTAAGTATTCATGATGGCTTGGACCTATGTGGATACTCTCCTTGCTTTTCAAGCTCACAGAGAATGGATAAATTATTAGATTTCAGAAAACCAATTGTAGACTAGAACGAGAACCTAGAATGATCTACCAAATCCAGTTTGTGACTAAAAGATGGCATTGTTTCCATTGTCAAAATCATGAAAGTAGACTATCGTCTCAAGATAGAAACACCATCTTTACCTTCCATTATGGACCTTTTAATAGGAACACAGTGCTAAATTCCTAAATTACAACAGTTTATTGAATCTTGAATGACATCAGTAGTAAGACCTACCATTATTTTATGCACTTTAAGAAAGAAAATGTCTTTTTGAAAACTATGACATGCTATCAATTATAAGAAACACCTGGTTTCACAGTTACTAACATATTTGTATATACACACAGATGCATTCTATTAATTTGTATTTAAGCTAACATTTCTTACTTGAAGATGCATTGGTAATTTATTGATAGGAAAATCACTTCCACAACTAAGGATAGTTTTTCACCTTTGTTGCTCTGCAAAGCTTGGTCTTATCTATTCTTCCTTTTAAGATTTCATTTCCACCATCAATCCCAAGGGCAACTGGTTTAACGTAATAGAGAAAGTCCTGGCTAGGGAAGCAGAGTGTGTTCCCTGCCAACATTTGCCCATGTCTGCGCCCAAATACACAGTGACTCCTTAGAGAGTCCTCACGCAATGTCCATCAATTAATATTTTTATTATTAGAGAGGCTAGTGCTCTTTACAGCATTGGAAACCTAGAAATTCTACCAGCTTAGCCAGCTTTTGCTACCTATAAGAGTAGTGGAAAAATAACAACATGGTAAGGATATCTTTCTGTTTTCACTGATCTGAAGTCACAAGCCTATAAAACCATTCAATTATAAATGTGAAAATAAATAATGCTAATAATGACAGCTCTTGTCAACTGGACATGCCCAAAGCAGACTGGAGCCAGATATGTGCACTGAGGGAAGTGGGTGGAGCCACAGGGAATTTGCACCTTACCCAGGGGAGGAGCCTGTGCTCTTCAGCTCATCTGTGTGGCCTGGAATCGATCTATGAGATGAGGACCTGTTAGCAGGAATCCCCCACGCTTTGCTGAGAGTTTGTTTTCTTTTTTCCTTTTCGCCAAATAAATTCCATTCCCCTCATCCTTCAAACTGTCTCCATGCCTAACTTTTCCTGGTGGTGTGACAAGAACCCAGTTTTAGCTGAACTAAGGAACAAAGCTCTGCAACAGTTGCAACTAAATTGCATTAAAACAAGATGTGCAAGATGAGTTTTGAGACCTACATCCTTTTATTAAGGCAGAAAAATTCAAGTCCATAATGAAGTCAATATGAAAAGGACCTGAATTTAGGTTTCTGTAGCAATCCATTTTATGGATGTTGCTTTCTTAGAAATTTTATGTTTTAAAATAGATTTTTAAAATTTATTACCTTAAAGATTTTTTCCTGTAGATCATATGGACACTTAATTTCTTCTATCAGGCGTATCATCTAGAAATATAATGCTTACATGGGAAATATATTATCTTATGATTTGATAAAAAATAGATGGAGTTGCAAATATACTTTTATGATATTCTTGAATTTTTTTTTTCCAATGCAAAGATTCCCAATCTGCCTACCAACTGAACTGTTTTGGTCGTGAAACATTACCTTCTCGGTATGTGGTATGCCTATCAGCAGAAAAGTAGTAAAGAAGAATAGACTAACTTTAGTTATTACATTTGCATTGTCTACAAAGCCATTTACTTAATGGATGAGTCTCATTAGCAGTCCAACCACAATATAAAGAATACAATGATGTGTTTCATAGGTTCATTAAAATAATATTTCAAAGGAGTCATTAGAATAAAAGAAGCTGAAGTTTCAACAGACAGTAAGTTGTCTGCAAATAAATGAGATGGAACCAACATGTTTTCAAGTAAGTTAAGAGACATGTTTACAAATACATTACAGCCATTAAAAAAGGAAGCATCAACTTAGCAAGTGCTGGGGGGACGATTACTCATGCAATTTACTAAAACAAAACTGTAACACTCTCACATCAATAGTTATTGTAGATGCAAACGCCTGTAGGTACAGGAAAATGTGTCTTAAGAAGGAAAATTCATTCTACAGCCCCGAGATGATTCTCCACTTGGAAGCAAAATTGAAAACATTCAATCCTGTCTTCAGATCACCACTGGTTTGGGGGGGGGGGGGGTTTGTTTTTTGTTTTGTTTTGTTTTGTACACACTTTTGTGTTATTTGCCCCAAACCCCAAGCATGCCTATCTTTTCATTTTTTTTTGAGACAAAGTCTCGCTCTTGTTGCCCAGGCTGGAGTGCAATAGCACGATCTTGGCTCACTGCAACCTCCCCCTCCTGGGTTCAAGCGATTCTCCTGCCTCAGCCTCCCAAGTAGCTGGGATTACAGGCGCCCACCACCATGCCCGGCTAATTTTTGCATTTTTACTAAAGACGAGGTTTCACCATGTTGGCCAGGCTGGTCTCAAACTCCTCACCTCAGTTGATCCACCCTCCTTAGCCTCCCAAAGTTCTGGGATTACAGGTGTGAGCCACCACACCTGGCCTACCCTTTCATTTTAAAAAGAAATTCATGGTAAATTAGTAACATGAATAATCCTGTAAGGGCAAAAAGTATACTGAAAAAAAAATTGTGTCTATTTGTAATTATCTAACCACACCTAAGAATTGACAAATGTTTGTTTAACAAATCAATGGATGAATAAATGAATGAAAAAAGCAATTACTTAGCAAAGGAGAGTTTTTAGATTAGGTTGTTAATTATTGCTGCTTTATCAATTTTTAAACCCAGTATTTCCACCTGTAAGCAAAATAATAAACAGCTTGTATATATGTTCAATAATGTTGAAATCTTTTCACAAATAGCAGTGTCAAATTTTTTTTAACCAAGATCATAGAGTTTATATTAAAACTAAGGATTTTATTTTTGGGTTTTTTTTTCACAAAGAAAATTAACATGTAGAACAAAATAAAAACCACTAAAGGAATAGAGATTGCCATTTATTTATTAACTTTCCTTTTTTGAAAGAGCTTAGATTTATAATTCTAAGAAATACAAGGTAAGACACACACATGTGTAAGTATACCTGGGACTTGGCAATAAGTCACAGGCACCTAGACCACAGCTCTTGTGGCAGAGAGCAAAAATGGCCCCATGTAATTTGCAATGTCTTCCCACTCTGCATCCTGACTCACCTTTGGATGCTTGGCTTAGCCATGTAACTTGACTTGGCCAATGTGATATCAGCAAATGGACTTGGAAAGAGACTTGAAAAGGCTTTGTGTATTTCTCTTTGTGCTCTTCCTATTTGCCATCAGCATTAGAACATGCCAGGGATAGCCTGCTGGCGGATACAAAATATTTAGAGCGGAGCTAAGTCATTCAGCCAAGAACAGCCTAGATCATTGCCCAGCCAGCTAACCCTGACATGTGATTGAACTTAGCCAACCTCAGCACATTTGCCTAGGTGACCCCAGCTGATTGTAGGTATAAGAGAAATAAACATGTGTAGTATGGCACTACTTGACATCCAACAGATTCACATATAAGCTTTGTACTTTGCAGTAAGATTATTCTCCAAATAGAACATCAGGTTGCATAAAATCAAAGTAGTACTGGGTTTTATTAAAGTAACTAATAAAAAATTATTCATTTTCTATTTTTTAAAAGAGAAAAGACAAAATTAAATTTGTATGCACAGTCTGAATTTTGAAGTGCTGGAAGCTTACTCAACAATACATCTACTGCTGAATTCAGCTCACAAGCCACCAAGTGTCAACCTCTGTTCTAGGTACTGAGAAGATTCCATGATTTCAAGCTGTTTACGGATTTTGTGAGAAGGACAGACACATAGTGCATTACATAAAAGAAATTAAAACTATTATGTCTTAATGCTTACCACGTGGACGAATATAAACAATTTGGATTTCCAGATGTTTTCTGGAATGCTTGCTATTTTGCCTAAAAGGTAATAATCAGACCAATCCCTACAATTAAGGAGTTTACTCTCTATTTTTTAAATATATAATTGATAAGCAAACATATTCCAAAAGATTCATTGTAAGTCTAAGTTTTTCAGAAGGTACTAAACTCCAAAAATATACAAGCCTCCAAAGATAAACTGTTTATTAATAAACGTATATATAAGGACTTCAGCAAACATAGCTTCCTGAGAAAAAGCAATTCAAAGATCAATATTTCCTTTTAAATTTTACACAACTTGGACAAAATTTTCTAAAGAAATCACAATTTTAAAAATGTTGGAAAGCCAGTTCCATTGCTGAATTCATAAGGTAACTTACCGTAAATCATATATGATTATCATATTTATAACTAACATCACATAGCCCCTTCCAGACTGTCAACTCCATGAGGGTAAAACCTAGTTATGTTGACATCTGTTTTCTCAAGCAGTTAGAATTTCCTGATTCATTCTCTTGTCTATCTGGCTGGAACAGCTAAAATTAAGGCAGTGGAGATCATTAGTTTGATAAAACAATAGAAGACAATTGGTATTGGTGTAGGAGCCACTCACCAGAAATGCTGTAAGTAATGACTAGGTTCTGCAGAAATAAAATTAACAGATTATTACAGTACACACTCCCATACCTACATCAGGAGTGAAAGGATCAAGCACCACAGTTAAAATAATAATGTCAGTTGCAACTGGGGAACTGAGGGTCCTGGAGACTCCCAACTCAGATGCCTGAAGAAGCCAGGGCAGGTATAGTAAGCAAGCAGGGAAAACTTGGTAATAGTGTACATGTGTACTTGGCTTCTGAGTAGTGGAGATGGCACTGAACTGGCAAGCCCATATCCCAACTAAAAGTGGGTTTCAGCTACTAATCTCTAACCAATATTTGCCATGTAGAAGGGTAGAGCTCCAAACTCCCATGATTTTATATATACATATTAAATGGAACCACAAATAGCAATTTCTACATATTATCTCCAAAATTGTACGTAACGTCACAATTTTTAAAACCATTATGTAGAACAAATAAGACACATGTTTAAGCATTTGTGCTTTCCCAAAGATGATGTCACCTTTGTTCCTGGTCCAGGAAGCTAAAAACAAGTAAGAGGTGACTTCCTCCCATTTCTTCTCCCTCCTTCCTCCCTGTATTCCACCAACAGTGCTACTTAAAGTATGGCTATGGAATATTGCCACTCCAAAACCTATTTTTTTCTTTTTTGGTCTAAGATAAGCGTGATGAACAGGTAAACTCCATGATCCAGCCCCCTGTATTCATGCTCTTGTGTGTAATCTCCTCTCTTGAGTGTGAACAGTGTCAGTGATTTGCTTCCAACCAAAAGAAATGCAAAGATGATAGAATGTTACTGCTATGATTATGTTATGTAAAACTCCATCTTGCTAGCAAACTCACTCGAGAGTCTCTCTCCCTTGTTGGCTTTGAAGAAGCAAACTGTCATGAATCCTACAGCCACAAAGAAACGAAGTCTGTCAACAACCTGAGGGAGCTTGGAAGTAGATCCCTTCCCAGTCAAGCAGCTGATGAGACCACAGCCCCAGCCAAAAGCTATATTGCAGCCTGGTAGGACACTGAAGCAAAAAAAAGCCATTAACCCATGTCTGAACTTCTGACTCACATGAACTATGAGATAATAAAGGTGTGTTATCTTAGCACCACTAAATTTGGAGTAATTTGTTATATAGCGACAGCAAACTAATACAAGGGGCCTACCCCTTAATGTTAATTAACTGTATCACTAGGCACATTGTTTAGTTTGACTGATATTTATTTTTTGTAATAGTACTTTCTCAATGAAGGAAGCAATACATTGAATTACACTCAGACGCAAGCCACCTCATCTCACAGCAGCCCAATACCTTGAGTTCTACAGTTGATGGGCATAGTGGAAAGAGAGGTCTGGTGTAACTTTATATGCAGAAAATGAGAAAGGCACATTTTCTTCCTTTGACTTATAATTTTGTCTAATGATATATGCAACAGAGGTAGTCAAGAGCAGGGTCAGGGAAATGGAGACTATGGTGAAGGAGTTATTACCTGTAATACTTCTAAGTTGCATCATAAAAATTTGCTATCACTACAGATAAAAGCAAAGGATGAGCTAACTGATAATACCTGTAAAATGCTGCAAACACCACCATGATGTGGTGAGGAAAGCAAGATAAACATTCCTATAGAATCCTCCTATTACTACTTGCCCTGGGGCCTTGTGAAAATCTAGAGAATCTAATAGTCTAGTACTCAGCTCGCAAGGAAACCAGTCAGTCATCTTTGTCATTCTCTGCTCATATCTTATTTCCTAACACAACAAAATCACTTATAGACCCATGCAGAAACCATGCCCTTCCTTCTCAGTCCTAGACCTGGCTAACCCCTGTGCCCTCTAAAGATTTAATTAGCTAGCTCTTACCCTGAAGAAGCCTTCTTTGATAAGTTTGTTCCTCCTTATAGCTTGCTAACATCCTGTGCAATCTCCATCATTTCACTTCTTGCCCTGTATCGTAATTAGCTCTTCCGGTGACTGTCTTATCCACTGGAGTAATTAATTGCTACTTAAGATAAGAAACCATGGCTCTCATTTTTGTATTTCCAGCACTGAGGAGCATGCCTTGCTCATAGAAGGCCCTCAATAAATACTAAGTGCAGAGAAAATAAGTGAGTTATTTTACTAGAGGCTGCATAAGAGCCAAGAGAAGCAACTTAATTATGAGGCAACAATAAGCTTGGATGATGCAGACAAAAATATGCTAGGAGATTTTAAGCACTCAGTCTGTCAGTGGTGAGCCTAAAACAGGTTCCTTTAAAGGTAAAAGATTCATACAAAACAATACGAAACTAAGAATTGTACAACTCAACACATGTTAAAATTGAAAGAAATATCACAGGTACTCACTATACCCAGATGTCAAATTCTTTCATATCTTGCTTCAAGCAGCATGTGTATATTAACTCATATTTAATACAAAAAGCTATGCTTTTTCTAAAAGCATTTCTTTTTTAAAATTTTTTTTTAAGAGATGGAGTCTTACTCTGTCATTCAGGCTAAAGTACAGTGGTGCAATGACAGCTTACCGCAGCCTTCAACTCCTAGGTTCATGTGATCCTCCGGCCTCAGGCTACTGAGTAGCTGAGATTGCAGTTGTCCACCACCACAGTCAGGTAATTTTTTAAAATTTTTATTCATACTTTTAGAGGAAGGGTCTTGCTATGTTGCCTAGGCTGATCTCAAACTCCTAGCTTCAAGTGATCCTCCCAACCTCAGCCTCACAGGTCACTGGGTTTACAGGCTCAATGCACCATACCTGACCTAAAAGCATTTCTTATCAGAGTCCTACTTACCCAGTTTTGTCAGGTGCCAGGAAATAGGGGAGCTCTTACCTAGGAGCTCCCTCTGGTCAGAGTGGCCTCGCATTCTCAGTGTGGGGGATTCAGTCCTACATTTATACCTCCCTTGGAGATCAATTCCTTAAAGCAAAACAGGTGGCTCACTGGATGGCATTCACTTTCAGTTGATCAATTGATTTGTTTGGAGATCAGTTCTTAACATTTATTTCAACAGTTTAACAAGATAAATTTGAAATCATTTTTCCTAAAAAAATTTCAAGGTGATCTTAATATTATTTTACCAACTTCAACTATGACCCCTTCTTCAGACTTAACCTAATTCCTTCTGAAAGCCAAAAATTCAGACCCATTTACCATGAAGCTGAATCCTCCACTGCTTCTCTAACTACCTCTTCCATCGGCCCTAAAACATTAAAAAAAGTGGGGTGCTGCTTCTCTTTTTCTGTAAGATGCCCAGGCCTGGTTGGTAAAAGTTTAACTGCTTAGGTGATTATTATGCACTATACAAAGTATACTACATATCAAGTGCTCTGCCCAGTAGAGGGTCTACTAAAAAGGCTTAAGAGTGAAAACTGCCAAAGGGAATTTCTTACCTTCCCTCAGGGCACACAGAACCTGAACCTCAGTACCAGGTGTTCCCTACATCTCCTTCTGCTGGTGAGTCTAAACCTGAATTACTCTTCTTTGTCTAATCAATTTAGACAACAAATTAAGCATGAATACTGCTTGGCATAGTAGCCTTAATCAAACAAAAAAGTGAGATTTTTTATTTTTTTAAACATCTATGCAAACATAGAGCTTTTGTTAGAAAAAGTTACAAATTAATAACATTAAATAAAGCCAACTCTTTAGAAATGATACAGAATAGCCAATTCCCAGAAGTATTTGAGTGGCTGAAAAACAAATCTGTAAAAAAGTCAATCTCAAGCAAAAATCAAGTTAAAATGAGACAGACACACTTTCAAAATTGCAGTAATTTTTAAAAATTTATAAGAAGTGTGTAAAGAAGTTGACATTCATACAGTCCTGTTCAGCTGATAGCTTTTTTAGAGAGAAATTTGGTAATATGACCCCAAAACCTTAACAAATTTTATATATTTATCCTATCTATTCTACTTCTTAGAACTCTAAGGAAACAAGAAGAGATGGCCAGAGACTTATGTAGTAGGATTTTTCTATCACGATGATGGGCTGGAGAATCCAAATGTCTCACGATAAAAAAGTGGCAATATAAAAAATGGTATGTGATACAATAGACTCCTATGCTATAATTAATTTTTATGACATATGACATGCTTGTAACATATTAAATGAAAAATGGCACCAAAATTGTTTAAAATACAATTATTTTATTTTTAAAGCATACATAAACTCATAGTAAAAAAGTATGCACATTAATAGTATTAGTCATTACCTGTGAAAGGCAGACTGATTAGTGACTTACTTTATTATTCCTATCCTTATTTTAAACTTTTCCAACCCATATATGTGGCCCATCAGATTTGTAAAAATGAAAATCCAAGGCATAGGATTTGAAGGCATACATTCCTATACCCTGCTAAAAACAGACTCAGTTTAGTATCTCCTTAGGTTCTGATATAAGATGATTCTCGAAAAAGCCCCAAGCCAACCCAGTCTGAAGAAACAGATACAGAGTAGTTATCAGAACAAGAATTCAATGCCAGTTAAGTCACCTTTCCCAAATTTAATTCTAATAATAAGTCCGTGTTAAAAAGCAAAGGTTCAAATATTTTAGTGTTATTGAGAGGATTAGCTCACTGCTGAGAGTGAATATAAAAAACAATTCTATATCAAAGCCAACTAATTCAATCTTATTTTTAAATGTCACCAAATATGGCTTCTCTCAAAGTACGCCGGTCCAATTGGTAATATCTGATGGCTGATTCTGCTTAACTCTACTAAATATAAACCATTATCTTAGGGAATCAGTAGTATACTTTATTCTTGTTATTCTTTAGTATTTTGTTAGGGATCATAAAATTGGACTTGACTTTGAGGACAGGACTGGCTAAGCCAGGGCAGTTAGTCCTATGGACCTTTTCACTCCGGGAGTCTGTGACTACTTATCCTTAAACATTTCCAGTAAATTTATGTTTTAGTTATCAATCAGTTATCTGTAAACTAGAACTTTAAAGAATCCTAAAACATAAATCTTTTTAATCCTCAATGATTTAGACTCTCTACATTTTTAAATAATTCAGTCAAACAAAAGAAGGGTAAATTAGTCATTTTGTGTGTCAGATAAAACACACATGCATACACAGAATAAATGTTTTTTGTTCTCAAAGGATTTTGTTGTAACCTCCACTCGTCATGTAACACTGGAACAAAATAGTTAGGCTAATTACCCAAAATTAAGTTCCACTTCTCGATTTACAAGCTTTCCATTTTATTCTAGCAATTCTTAGCTGTCATGGACTCAGAAAATTATTACTGCCATCAATTGGAAGATTGTTTTAGTGGTACAGATGGCTGTCCTTTTATAGGCCAACTTAATGACTTCTTCTTATCTAATCTGTCATCTGTTATTTAGTTGTCATTATGAACTTTTTGGGTTGCATATCAATCCATTTTCCATGTTTACTAAACAGATGGCTTTATTTGAGAAAAAAAAAAGCAAAGCAAGAAAATGACATTGCATGATTAAAAAATTTCAAAAGGCTGCATACAATTTTTAATGTTCCTAAATGAAATGAAAAATTGCTATTAAAAAAACTAAATTTGAAGTCAAAGTGAAATAGATTTTAAAACTCAATGGACATGCAAAGAAACAATCAGCAGCAGCTATCTACAAATAGAACAAATTACTTCCAAAACAGCAATAGGTTATTCTTCCAGTTTTTGTCACAAATTTTTTTTTAAATTTATCTTGACAAATAGATGACAAATGTCAACGAAGTAACTCTTCAATTCAGAAGCTCTTTATGTTGTAATTCACAGGTGTACCTCCTTTGTCTAGTATTTGTAACCTTATTTAGAGAGTAGGTAATGACATAAATACTTCCATTTAGTGAAAATTGTTCCTTATCTTTGTCTCCTTATGATGATTTTGTTTAATCACTGGGTCATTATCAAATCAACACCCAAACTCAAGAAGCGTAAGGGAAATTGTAAAGGGCTTGTATCAATGAGTTCAGAGATCCAAAAATAATAACTGGCACTGTGCCATGAAAGAACACTGTAGTTCACACTGTACCAGAGAAAGAACTTGACAATTATTAGAAACTAAAATACATAATCATGAAATAATTTTATGTTACATTTATGAGTGGTATTTAAAATTGTGTTTGTTCAGGAAGGATATTTACCAAGTCTTGGGATTTGCTGTATCAGCCTATAACAACGCTGCAAAAGTAACCGAGCAGAGCCTTCTGAAACAGTTTCCCATGCCATACTAAGCACATCCTCCATTGTAGAACAGATTGAGTTCAACTGTGGTTTTTTTACTTGCCCAAGTTCAAGGCTCCTGAGCACAACAAAACCAACAATGAGGAAGAGCATGATCGCATAATTTTTTATGTTCTTCAGACAATGTAGGAGAACTTAAAATGGACAGCCAATTTTTCAAAAAGGACAAATTATTTGAAGGATTTCTTTTCTTATATGATAACCACAGTAAAATGTAAGACTAGTGTAGGTAATTGTCCTGCCACTCCATTCTAAGCTGTGAGTGAAAGTACTCCATCAGCTTAATGAGAACACCGTGAAATATAAAACATCTATTTCAATACAAGTTATTGAGAAGCTTTAACAGGCTTTCGGGAGAAGCTACCAAAAGAAAACCGAATACCAGATACTTGATTTGAGACTGACAAAAATCTTCTATTCTTTCCTACGGAAAATTAAACAAAATGGGCTATTATATAGCAGGAAGACAGAGACAAAAAAAAAAAAAAAAAAAAAAAAAAACGGAAGAAAGAGTAAATTGTATGAATCAGAAACTTGGAATAATAATTCTACCTCAAATACTTCTCTTAGGTCTTCTGCTCACATCTTTCAGGCAGAGAACATCTATTTGATGCCAAATGTGTGGCTAGAACTGGGCCAGGTGCTTTACATGTCATAGATCAATACCAAACAACTAGTGAAATCAGCACAAATTCAACCAATGAAGCTCTTAAAACAATAAGGTGAAAAACCACATTGTTGAGGAGAGCCATACAATACAGTCAGGTTCTAGTTCAAATTACGTTTCTTTCCTTGAGATCTTCTGGTCCATGATATGTTTTGATCTGTCTAAAATATTATGTAGGCATTCTCAAGTGATTAAGAAACTCCGGATTGTTTCAAATAATCAGGTCTTCCCCAGGCAAACACTGGAGATCACTTGTTTTTTGTTTGTTTGTTTGTTTCTGAGATGGAGTTTTTCTGTGTCGCGCAGGCTGGTATGCAGTGGCATAATCTTGGCTCACTGCAACCTCTGCCTTCCAGGTTCAAGCTCAAGCGATTCTCCTGCCTCGGCCTCTTGAGTAGCTGGGATTACAGGCACCCATTCTTGAGTAGCTGGGATTACAGGCACCCATCACCACACCTGGCTAATTTTTTGTATTTTTAGTAGAGACAGGGTTTCGCTATGTTGGTCAGACTGGTCTCAAACTCCCAACTTCAGGTGATCCACCTGCCTCAGCCTCCCAAAGTGCTGGAATTACAGGCATGAGCCACCACGCCCGGCCCAATATCACTTTCAATGGGTCCCAACACATTAAATGATGATTTCTTGACAAAGTTTTACACACTACTTAAGGATCAATTGACATCAACCCTAACTCAAAGCCAGGAAGCTTAATCCAACATGAAAATATTCTGTGGATGTTGTACTTAGGCATATTATTCTCTGTAGTATATACTTTCATATTGATACACATATTTAACATATTGCAAAGCATATTTTAAAAGCATTGATCTATGTTCTACTGGTAATTTTCACAACGCTTAATCACATGGCCATCATAGTCTTTGCATAAGACTACCTTGTTGTTCAAGAATGGTTTTAGCATTCCATCCTTCTCCATCATACTGGCTCAGAGGTGAGAACTGACCTTCTCCCAGTAGATAAAAGACTCTCATAATTGTATTATGTACAGCAGCATCAGCATCACCTGGGAACATGTTAGAAGTTCGAACTATAGACCTCCAACCCAAACCTCTGGAATCAAAACTCAGGAGATAGGCCTTAGCAATTTGTGTTTTATTATATCCTCCAGCTGTCTGGAGAACCACATAAGTTTTGAGAAAGAAGGCAATGCACCTTATCATTCTTCAAGGCAAAGTTCACTTCACTTAGCTTGGTATTCTTCACTGCACCTAGCACCCTCAACATAACAAGCACTTAATACATATTTGTGACATAAAATAGATTAAAATATTCTAAAGACAGAACTCATTTTAGAGAACAATCCTTTCCAGCCACTATTTGGAGATTTTGATACTAGAGATGTATTTGGCTGAGAAGTTTCCTTTCCTTAACCTATTGCTAGGTTCTGTGAACTTGCCATGAATTGAAACCAAGGATGGACTACAGTCAGAATGAAGGAAGATGAGGAAGAAAAAAGCAAAGAAGAAAACAAAACCACTCTATTCCTTCTGAATTTGGCACAAAGATCTCAGGTGTTCCTTATATTCTTAAGACGTAAATCACAATGAATTATGATCATTGAGCAAATATTACTGTGAGCCTAGGTCAAAAAGCTAAGGTCATAGTGTTCTGACATAAACAAAATCAGCTTTATTTCAGAAAGAGCATAGTGAAAGGCTAATAAACATTGCTAAGTAAAGAAGGGGCTGATAACACAGATACAACATGGTAGGTCTATACTTTCTAGTGCTTATCCATTTCTCTGCCAGCCCCTGCATTTATGGCACATCAATCAAAAGTCTTGGTTTTGGAGCCAGGTGAACTGGGTTATAATCTGGCTCAGGTCTTCACTAGTTGTAGGTCTTTGGGGAAATTATTCTTCTCCTTTCTGACTGTCTTCATCTATAAAATGGAGTAATAATGGTAACTAACTCATAGAATTGATGGAAGATTTATATTAAATAATGTGTGTTGTAAATGCTCAATAAATGGTAGATTGTTTTTCTTTGTCTATAGGAGGTGTTGAGGGCTTGTAGTCTACTTGTTCAAGCAACAGGACATAAAACAAAAGCTCATTAAGTCAGATGTGGTATCCCATCAGCACTTGCCCAGCACTGAGAATACAGCAGGTATTCCAGAAGTGTGAGCCAAATCACATGCATTATACCACAGTACAAAGAAACCTTCCCCAAGAGTCATGGTTGAGAATTACACAGCAGAGATTTTCCACATCACAGAACAGAGTAGACTGGCTTGACTTCATGATATTTGGATACAAAACTGAGAAAATTAGATTTCCAAAATATATTATTACTTGAATATGAAAATATCTTTTTTTTTTTTTTTTTTTTTTGAGATGGAGCCTCGCTCTATCGCCAAGCTGGAGTACAGTGGTGTGATCTTGGCTCAATGCAACCTCCGCCTCCTGGGTTCAAGCGATTCTCCTGCCTCAGCCTCCCAAGTAGCTGAGATTACAGGTGTGTGCCACCATGTCCAGCTAATTTTTGTATTTTCAGTAGAGACAGGGTTTCACCATGTTGGCCAGGATGGTCTCAATCTCTTGACCTCGTGATCCACCCGCCTTGGCCGCCCAAAGTGCTGGGATTACAGGCGTGAGCCACTGTGCCCGGCCTGAATATCAAAATATCTTTTTCGAATTCTGTGACAGCCCATGACCCCTTCACCAGAGCAAGCCAAACACCACTTGTTTTCGCCAAAGAGACAGGAGCAAAAGGTTCTGGTATTTATCATCTGGGCTTTATCTTTTTCTGGATAGATTATGAAATTCCAGTGTATTCCAGACAGGTCCATTTTCATGGAACCAACCACTGTCTTCCCTAAAAGCATAACAGCATCACAGGCAAAGGTCCCAAGATAATAGAATTTTATATATCAGGCTGGCTTTCTAAGAGAAGTCAATAAAATCCAACAATGATGGGAAATGCAGGATGTAGCAGAGATCCTTAAAAGCAATTAGCAGAGAGCAGGGATGAAAAGCAATTATGCAAACACTAGAACACTAGGACATTCAAGACTTTTTTTTTTTTTTTCTTTTTTTTTTTTTCATTCTGTAAGGAAAGGACAGATCCCTGCTTTGGAAAAAGAATACAAATGTGCAGGTTTGAAAGTTCCCCATTAGGTGCATCTACCATTTCTATTATATTCAAATACTAAGCTTTTTAGGACTTATATTAAACTCCATAATCTTAATATTTATGACCACAACTTAACAATTAATCAAACTATTAAACACTAAAAGAGTCAAAGGCTGAGTATGGGTGGGGCAAGAAAATTTTTTTTTTTGAGATGGAGTCTCACTCTGAAACAATCTTGAAAAGCCTCCAGAAGGTACAAATTTGCTGGCACTATAAAAGACAAAGGCAACTTAAGGAGGTTCAAGGAAAAAGGAAAATAATGCTAAGAAAGAGAAAACATGAGAGAAGGCACTGGGGCCAATAATGCACAGAGTTCAGATACTAAATAGTGAAGTGATCCATTCAGCCTAGAAGAATGTTATGGTAGAATGGAAAAATGCAAGTCTTTGACTCTGAGAGCCCTGGGTTTTAATTCTGTCTTTCTGTGACCTTGGGTAAGGCATATAACTTCACTGAGATTCACTCTGAGCACCCACAAAATGAGGGCAACAATAGCTATCCTATGAAATAGGTAACTAATAAATAGCAGCAATATTTAATAGGCATGCAAATTCTTTTCTCTTCCCTTCACCAAGTCATAATAAACCTGTTCTTTAATTCAAAATCAATATGGCCAAAGCCAAATTCACAACATCTTCTCACAAGCTTCCCTTCTCAAACAGCCTGTCTTATCAATCGAGCCACCATGTCTCCACTGACCCAGGCTTGGAATGTCTGACTGATAGCTGCCTCAACTTCACCTTCAAAACAAATGTCTGCTCAAGTTATATCCCTCCAACACGATTCATTTTGACCTCTTTATCCCTGTTTTGTCAACCACAACCCAAATCTAAGTCTGAATTATTGAAAAAGCCTTCCGTCCGACCCATGTGATTCCTACTTTTCTCCCCACAAATTCATATACCTCCCACTGCTTAGCTTATCTATTTCGAATACTGGTGTAATACATCCTGGTGATGGCTCCCTGTTTCCTACTACTCAGTGATATATTCATCCGTTCATCCAATAAACAGTTACTGGATATCCACCAAATACCAAGTACTGGGCTATGTATTGGAGGTGCAAAAATGAGCAAGTCATGCCTTTGAAAGTCCAGTGGGGAGAAGTAAACAGATAGATTATAATACAATGCTATAAAGAAGAGATGAAACTAGAAATTCGCTTTATAGGTTGAACGAGACAAAATCTCAGATCAGAGATGGTGCTGTATTGGAACAGCATCTCAAGAGAGGAGAGGTGTTTGTCAGGCAAAAAAATGGAAAAGGGCACTATTCTTTTTCAAAGGCACGTACACAAAAAAATCCTGTGTTTTATAAGTAAAAGACACCCCCACCAACTGTAGAGGAGGTTGAATGGATTTCTTGCAGCAGTGAGTGTGTAAATGAGTGACTAGCTAGGATGCAAGACTCCCCTCCTTTGACCAAGCAAGTAAACAAAGGATGGATTCTTCATAGAAGATGCAATGGCAACAGGTGACAAGTTTCTTTGGGCAACTACTGAGTCAGTTATGTAGGTAAAGGGGTAGAGATTCAAGAATCAAACAAACAAAAGACAACAAAAGCAATACAATATTTCAGACACAGAACCCCACTGGCCAGAGAGAGAGACAGATTTTACCCCTCAATGACAGTGAACACAGAACTTAGACCATTTGAAATAAAAGTTCTTACCATATCTCTCCTGACTCGTACAAACACCAAAGGGCAATAGTAAAGGAGGATAAATCTTTTTGAGGGAAGTGAGCTGTACTATCTCATATCTCACGGGAATCCATTCATGAGAAAGTCAAATCCAGAAGTCTGTTCCACTTCAGCTCTCATTTACAAAAAAAGTTTTCTCCTTCCTTTCTTAAATCAAGTGACACAAGTCAACTCAAGATGTGCAGCATCACATCGTCACTCAACCAAACTGTGCACACATCTTCTGCCATGGGTGTCACCAATCTTAAATCTCAGTGTTTAATACTGAGATTTAAAAAAAAATAATTTTATTGTGTGCATTTGAAGTTTATAGCATGATGTTATAGAATATATATAGATAGTGAAATGGTTACTAAGTGAACCAAATTAACATATCATCTCACATGGTTATTTCTTGTGTATGACAAGAGCAGCTAAAGTCTACTTCCTTAAAAAAATCCCTAATACAATACAATTTTATTAACTCCAGTCCTCACATTATACATTTTAGATCTTTAAACTTAGTAATCCTATATATCTGCTGGTTGATATTGAGATACAATACTTAGAAGCTAAAAGCTTATCAAACATGAAGGCTTTTCTGTTCGGATTTTTTTTTGGAGAGGGTTAACAAAATGTGTTGTTTTAATTTCATTTTCAGAACAAATTAATTTATCTCACCACACTTTTTGTTTCTAGCAAGCATGACACCACTAGGTATGAGCTGTGTGCTTATTGTGGATAAGGACAGTGTGTTAGTTACCTCTTTATCCCATCACAGTGTCTGCCACTTAAGCATTCAGCAAATTAAATCATCAACATGAGAAACATGAGATACATTTTTATCATGTACATGAGATACATGTCCTGTATTTTTATCACCTACGTGAACAGAGCTGAACACCTCACCTATTCAATAGTAACTCCAATTTTATTAACTTTCCCTTGACTCATTTTCTTCATCAATAAAACGTGGATCAGATTGCCTTCCTTATAGAGTTATAGTGAGGGATAAACAGGGTACAGTATACAAAAAGTCAAATGAGTCTTCAATAAACGGCAGACAAATCCCAAACAAAAAGAGGGGCAAAAAGGCCCGTGTCAGAGAAATCAGAAGTTAAATCACCATAACAATGACCATAAGCAGCAGAGAACTTCAGAAGGTATCCCCAGCCTTTTGGAAATGTCCTTTAATTTCTTCATGTTGGGTAAATCTAGCAATTGAAAAGGAAAGACGCTGTTAAGTTCAAATGTGGATGTTCATTATAGGAGCTGAATGAGAGACAGGTAAAAGTTTCCAGGGAAGAAAAAGGCAGTATGCAACAAAGAGTTGGGTATCAAAAAATAAAAATAAAAAGAGGTGCAGAAAACAAGCTCCTTTTCTTCTCTAAATTCGTGGTGCTCCTATCCAGGTCGGCAACCCCACATCAGTCCTTACCATTGCTCTACCCAGTTTGTGTCCCCACTGAATCACTCCCCAGCTCCAAGTGACGTGTGTGTGTGCCTATGAAGTTTTAAGGAAAAATTACCTATAATTTTGCTTGATCTTTGTGAATCTCTGTAGCAACACGGAAAACTGCTTAACTTTTCAAAACAAATCTAATCACCTTATCATTCTTTTATTTCAAGTAATGGCTACAATGTATTGAGCACATAACTAAGCACTGTATGCCAGACACTGTATTAATTGCTTTATATGGATCTCATTTATTCCCACAACTCTGACTTGTATACTGCCGCTATCCCTGTTTTACAGGTGAGTAAACCTGGAGATGTGGAGTGGTTACATCATTTTTCCAAGGTTATACAGCTAGAAAATAAGTGGTAGCTAGAACTTGAGCCCACTGAATTTTAATGGTGTCACTGTAAAGCCTCTGCGCTGTGTATCTCCTGTCCCCATCACTCCCCACTCTGCTCCACTGTGCTCTGTACCCCAGGAGTCTGGCCTCCGTGAACTCCAACAAGCTTCCCTGGCCCCCCTGGCCCCCCTGGCTTCAGTGAGTTTGTGTGATAGACTCCAGGCAGGAGATGAGAAGGAGGGAAGAACAGTTCAGGATATTTATTCCTCTTGGTCCTTCCTGGAAGGTCACCTCAGTCTAGCTTCCTCAAAGGACGGTCACCATCCTCTAAAGGCAGGCTCTTCTCCACACTTCTGTCCTTTGAGGTTCCCACAACTGCTACCTCCCCTTGTCCCTAGGTCAAGGGGTGGTCACAGCTCTGCCGTTACTCATCCCAGTAACTCATGCAGTCACTATAACATCATCTGTGGTTTCCCTGCACCCAGCCCACAACTTTGTAAACAGTCCCATTGTAAATATACTCTTTAATATATGCTGATTTGAATGTACCATCTGGTCCCTCTTGGAACTCTGATACAGCCTTTCTAATAATGCCTTTGGTCTAGGAATAACAAAATAATTGTTCTCCAGTCATTCCATGCTTTTCTACACCTCTGTGTGTGTGTACTCCATGCTGCTTTCAAGTGAAATGCTCTTCACCACTTTTTCTGCTGGAAAATTCTAACTCCTCCTTTATAACTTATGAAGGCAGTTATTTTATTCAAACCTCCTTTGACCCCCTCCTTGCCATGGGCAAAATAATGGGCTTTTTCTATCATACTCTGTAAGCACCTACAACTTAGACAATACATTATACTGTATACATGTGAGACTGGCAAAATCTCAGCATGCACCACTGTACCTGGTATGCAGTAGGTAAAACAAATGATCACTGAAGGCTTGAATGAATATATTGCTGTTACATATATTCTTTATTCTGTTCTACCCAGGAAATTAATGTCACAGGCATTCCATTGAGCAACACAGAAGGCTATATGTGTACATGCTGGTTCATTCTATGTGCCAATTTGACTGAGCTAAGAGATGCCCAGATAACTGATAAACATTATTTCTGTGTGTATCAGTGAGGGTGTTTCCAGAAGAGAATAGCATTTGAATTGGTGAACTGAGTACAACAGATATCCTTTCCTAATATGGATGGGCATCATTTAATCAACTGAAGGGCTGAAAGAACAAAAAGGTAGAGGAAGGGAAAATTCACTCTCTCTGCTTGAGCTGAAACATTCACCTTCTCCTGCTTTTGGACACTGGCACTCCTGGTTCTTGGACCTTGGGCCTAATTAGATTAAATCATACCATAGGCTTTCTTGGTTATCCAGCTTTCAGAGAATAGATCATGAGACTTCTCGGCCTCCTTAAGTACATGAAACAATTTCATATATATGTTTGTATGTATGTATCTATCTGAATATATATATATATATTCTATTGGTTCTGTTCTCTCTCATATATTATTACATATAAACAGAACATTATATATATAATACTAAGACCTATATATACAGTATATATTATATATGTATTTAATACTATATTATATATAATACTAAGACCACTAAAATTGGGATCTTTCTGGAAAATCAAAATTCAACATAAATTTATTATTTCTTTGTAAAAATGCATATGGAGGAGAGGGAAGGCAAGTTAACCAGATATACTTTGAATGTAAGGTTACATGTTCCCTTTAATCACTTGATTTACTGAAAAAATACATGCTTAAACCTTTGAAAAAGGAAAGTTGTTTTTCAGTAGTTCATTATATACTCACTGAGTTTTAAATTCTATCACAATTCACGTTTTAAAATAGATCTTAACACCACACATATTTACATTAAAATAGTAACTGAGTCATACTTACCTAAATAGCCTAATGACTCATTAAAACAACTTTCTTTTCTGTTAAGTCATATTTCTTCCTTCATAATTCAGTTCTCATAACTCATTAGTTATTTCCAAAGAAGGATGTATCACAGTCATAGACCACTTCTGTTCTTAGAACTTAGGAAGCCATCTCTTTCAGATCAAAATATCTAAAATTTCTATGAAAATTTTCAATGATTTAACATCAGTGTTACGTCTTAAGATTTATTATTAAGACATGGTTTCTCAGAAAGTCAACTCCTGGTCTAGTGTTTTTAAATGATTTGACTCTGAATGTTCAGTAACTTTAGTTAGCTCTCAATTGATTTCATTATGGAACATTTTTCTTCCTCTCATGAAAATACGTAACAACAAAATATACCTGATTAACAAACAGCTTGATCCATGCAGCATGTAACATTCATAGATGCTAATGCCTCTTTGAAGCATACTTAGTATTTAGAAATCATTTTGCCTTCATTGAATGACCAAACAACTGGTGTTCAAAATAAAATATATGCCTGACTATAATAATATGGCAAGTACATATTTGTCAGTAATGGGTATTGCTTTGCATGATTTATTTTTGTTTTCAGAAAATGAGTCCTCGAGAAATCCTACAAATCACTTTCTTGCATAGAACTGAATTTTGGTAAAAGGAAAAAGGCGCTATGTTCAGTCCCTCCGCCTTTTTGAGATGGAGTCTCACTCTGTCACCCAGGCTGGAGTGCAGTGGTGCAATCTCAGCTCAATGCAACCTCTGCCTCCTGGGTTCAAGCGATTCTCCTGCCTCAGCCTCATGAGTAGTAGAGATAGGGTTTCACCATGTTGGCCAGGCTGCTCTCAAACTCCTGACCTCAAGGGATCCGCCTGCCTTGGCCTCCCAAAGTGCTGGGATTATAGGCATGAGGCACAGTGCCCAGCCTGCTAACCCCTTTTCACATGCCATCTCATTTGACCCTTGCTATGTTTTGAATATCCCCTCCAAAATTCATACTGAAATTTAATTACAGGAGGTGGGACCTCTAACAGTGATTAGGTTATGGTGCTCTACCCTCATGAATGGATTAATGCTGTTACCACTTATCATGGGAGTATGTTAGTGATGTTGGGAATGGCTATGTTATAAAAGCAAGCTTTCTCTCACATTCTCTTGCCCTTCTGCCGTCCGCTCCCCTGCCATGAGATTAACCTCACCAGATGCTGACATCATGGTCTTGGACTTTGCAGCTTCCAGAATCATGAGCTGTATAAATCTCTTTTCTTTATAAATTACCCAGACTGTGGTATTGTTTTACAACAGCAGAAAATGGACTAAGACAATCCTATAGACAGCAACCCTACCAAAGTCAGAAAGGCTAAGGGACTAGCTGAGGCTCTGATTCCTAATCCCATGTCCTTCCCATTAAATCATTTTGTCAACTTATATAGGTTGAGGCTATACCTATGCTAAGTGAAAATATCCATCTGATAGATTCAACTTGAGATTCTACTTTGCCCCATTATATTTGTTCTCTGAGGAGAGTGAAGAAGAAGAAAAGGAGAGGTTTTTGTGTTAGGCCATTATCAATGAGACTCATCAATACTCAACTAATCTATAAAATGAGCTCAACCTTCCCCTAAGAATACTAAATACTCATAGATAATGGGCTGGCCCTTTGATTTTAATTCTCAGAGGATCAGTGTTTTTAATGTTTTATCATTAGTTCCTTTCAATTAAGTCAGGTAATAATGCTGCCTGGACATTCAAACCCAAATGAATGGCTTCAATTATCCCAGGGTCTATTTCTCAATCAGGAGCCAAGGCCCTGGGACCAAATAGCTAACACTCCTCAAAGTACCTCTAGATTATTTTCTGAAAAGAATTCAAAGATTATTACATTTTAGTGAATTTTCTAGAGAATGCACTGTTTTTATTAAACGGGAGTTTTTGCTAATTTTGCTCCTTTCTAAAGATGTTGGAAAGTCTAAGAAAACTCTTACTCAAAAACGAGGAAGTGGGAAAATCTCAAACTAAACCCTCTCAGATTATGTTCTTACTCAAAATACATTTGATGTATTTGAAACACTTGATGCCTTTATGAACAAATTTGCCTTGATTTATTATGCAAAGTCATAATTAGCTATTTTAATTCATTAACTGCTTGTTTTTAAAAAATATCCAATTTTTAAAAACAACAAAGCAAAAGTTACATGGTATGACCTATAGAGGTTTTACAGTGGATGAATTTTAACAAATGTATACACACATACAAAGCTCTAATCAAGTTATCGAATATTTCTACCACTCTAGGAAGTTCTCCAGTGCTCACCTGCAGTCAAGCTCCACCACTTTCATGGAAACTGCTGTTCTGATTTCTATCACCAAAAATAAGTTCTGCCTGTTCTTTAAATCAATATAAAGTATGTACACTTTGGTGTTGAACTTCTTTCAACTATTTAGAGAAGTCCACCATGCACTTACAGGTATTAGAAATTTTTCTTCTTATAGGTGAAGTATCTTTTATTCCATGAAATGAAAATCCAACATTTTATCTATGCTTTTGATGGACTATCGGATTATTTCCAGTTTAGAATCTTTACAAGTAAAGTGACTATGAACATTTGTGTAGCAAAACTTCTGTGGATACATACTTTCCTTTTGTAGGGGTAAATACCAGGAAATGGAACTGTAAAATCATAAAACATATCTTTTTAAAAAAAAAAAAAAAAAGAAACTGAGGAACTGTTTTCCAAAGTGATTGTACCATTTCATACTCCCACTAGCTATGTTTATGCATTTCTGTTATTCCATCATCTTATTCACTGGATGTTTTAATTTTAGCTCTTCAAGTGGATCTACAGTGGTATCTCATTCCTGTTTTGAATGTGCACTTTCATGATAAATAATGATATTGAACACCTTTTAATGGACTTATTGGCATTTGAAAAAACATATATATAAATATATTTATTTCTTTGGGCACTCTGTTGAAATATTTCACCTTTTATGTTGCCTTAAATTGGGTTATTATGAAGCATTTTAGAAATATATATACATATATACACACACATATGTTCTGCATACATGTCTTTTGTCAGATATATATATTTCAAGTATTTTCCTCCAGTCTGTAGCTTGCCTTTTTATTTTCTCAACTGGGTCTTTTGATAATCAGAAGGTTTTTATTTTAATGAAGTTCAATTTATTAACTTATTTTTTCTTTTATAGCTAGTGCTTTTTGTGTGCTCTTTAAGAAATCTCTGCCTGAGACTGTAAGATATTTTTTCTCTAATTTGTTATAGAACTTCTACAGTTTTTGCATTTATATTTAAGTGTGTAATACATCTCAAAATAGTTCTTTTTCTTAGTCTTTTTTTTCCTGTTTAGATAATTTCTATTGATATGGCTCAAAGTTCACTGACCTTTTAGCATGCAGAGACTAGTTGGCTGTTAACTCCATTCAGTATATTTCAATCATGGCACTTTTCTTTTCTCTTTGTTTTTTTTTCCTGAGACCGCTCACTCTGTCACCCAGGCTGGAGGGCAGTGGCATGTTCAGAACTCACTGCAGTGTCAGCCTCCCAGGCTCAAGCAATCCTCCCACCTCAGCCTCCTGAGTAGCTCAAATCACAGGTGTGCACCAACACGCCTTGCTAATTTTTTTATTTTTTGTAGAGGGGGTCTCTCACCATGTTGCCCAGGCTGGTCTTGAATTCTAGGATCAAACAATCCTCCCACCTCAGCCTCACACAGTGCTGGAATTAGAGGCATGAGCCACCACACCCAGCCATGGCACTTTTTGATCCTAGAATTTCTATTTGATTTTTATAGCAGTTTTTAGGTAAGATTCTTCATCTGTTCTTGAACAGCATCCATGTTTTCCTTTAAGTTCTTTAACAATATTATTATAGCTATGGTAACTCTAATATCTTGGTCATCTTCCATCTGTTTCCAGTGACTGCTTGTTTTCTTCATTAGTTGTCTTCTTCACTTGTATAATAATTATGAATGATATATCCCAAGGTGTCTGGATTATCTTTTCTTCCCTTAACATATTGAGTATTTTTGTGGCAGTTAAATTATTGGCAGATTCTCTTGATCCTTTCACGCTTGCTTTTATACTCTGTTAGAGTGGGCCTATTTGGTTTTATTCTTCATTTTAGATTGTGATTCTCCTAAGGTAGGTCTCCTTCTATAGCCCCAACTGAGCTTCTAGGCTGTTAAGCAAGACCTTCTACACTGGCTGCGACAGGACTCCAATATCTCTCAGCATTGTGTGACCTTCAGTGCCTCTGTTAAGCATTCAGTTCTGCAGAAGGCACCCTCTACTGTGTCTTACAGAGTCCCACTCTGTGAATATACAGCCTAGCCACTGGCCAATGGCACACAAGGAACCCTCATTAAACCAATACAAAGACAAGTTCAACAGTATTTTACAGAAAATCTTTTAAGCCAAAGAGAAAAACAGTCATGATTAACTATGTTGGCAATAATTTTAAGGTACATAAAAAAAGATATTTGTAACATATCTGTATTATCCTAATAGACAAAAGTATCCGCTATAGGAGTACATGATTCGCTGCCTATGTCCGAGAGCTTTGAATCTCAATTCCTCACACCTGGTGCCATTTTACTCATAATATGTAAAAGGAAGAGCTGCTAGAAAAACTTACGTCACCTGTGTTAAGTTTATAGATATACACTTGAATTAACAATATTTTTGGCCAAGATTCATAAATACACTTTATGTTTTATGAAGCCCAATTCAGTTAGAACTTGAGGTCAAGCAAAGAAATCAAGTGTAAGAGCTGACATAAAAACAGGTTTCCTTTTCAATACACTTTCAGCTATCTTAGAAATTAACTGTTCGGAGTGTTTTTCTATTCATACTCCAGAACCTCTCGCCCAATAAAATTATCTCCTCCCAGGGCTTTCACTAGTGTCAATTCACTAAAGATGCCCGTGTCAACATTTCAAGGTCGCGCCTCCTCAAGAGTTTAAATATTCATCTAGATATCCACCTTGAATTCAAAAACCCCACAACAGAATTCCTTCTCTTGTTCCCGCAAAAATCTGTACCTCTTCCTGAATCTGCATTCTGGCTGCACTATGTACCTAGTCACCGAGAGGTGGACTTATACCCCTCTTCTCTTTCACCCTTTCATCTGTCTGATGCATCACTAAGCCCCAAGAGCTTCCTCCTTTAATTATATCTGAAGTTTGTCCCTCTGTTTCCATCTCTGCTCTAATGCAATTTTTTAAAAATCACTCACTCTATTCCCACAGCCTTCAAACTGGTCTCTTCCCTCCTATCCATTCACAACACAGCTTCTAAGTGCTCTTCTTAAAATACTCATTTGATAACATAGTTTCCTGTTTTAAAATGTACTAAGTATTCCCACACATCTCTAGAAAAAAGTTCACATTGCTTTTGTGCCTCTCACTGCCTTTTAATTCGCTTCTCTAATAATTTACATCCTAGTTGCCCAGCTACACCAAACCAGTTGAAATTGCTTGGACGTGTCATATGGTTTCAGAACCTAAGCCGTTTGCACAAGGCAAACCATCCACATGCTCATCCTTGGGTCTCAGATCAAACATGAACACCTGAGACAGAAGACTCTGGTTTTTCTGACCGCTGTGTTGTTCCAATCTGTTTATTTTACTGGACTCTATTTGAAATGATCCATTTGTCCTCTATTAGACTGTAAATTCCCTATGTGGAGGGAGCATAACAAATATATCTTTATTCTCCTGTGTCTAGCACAATGCTTCACCATATTTGCAATAAATCAGTGTAAATGTAATTGGGATATCCACCACCTTAAATATTCATCTTTTTTATGCTACAACCATTTTAATTATTAAATATTTTCTTCTAGCTTTTTTTTTTAAGAGATGGGGTCTGGGCTGGAGTGCAGTGGCTATTCACAGGCGACATCATAACTCACGGCAAACTTGAACTCCTGGGTTCAAGTGATCCTCCTGCCTCTGCCTCCCAAGTAGCTGAGAATACAAGCTCATGCCACTGAACCTGGCTCTCAAGTAGTCGGTTTTTAACTAAAAATATTTACAGGTTACTACAAGGCTCTTCTTTTTATTTTTCAATCTTACTGGAATGAAAAGCAATAACTTCTAACATTAGAGTTATCATTCTGCTCTATGATGTAACTTAGAAAATATAATAAAACTGCAAATCTATTTCCAAAGCACATTTAAAAAATACCCCCAGATAGCTGAGCATTCATAAATTGATTTTATGGTCATTTGCAAAGGTAGCAGGACATTGGGGAAGTAAAGAGAGAGAGCAATGATTGATTATTTGAGAAGTTAACCTCATTTTAGCAGATTTTTGTGGGGTTTTTTTTTTTTTTTTAGCTCAAAATGTTTATCTAACAGATAAATCAAATGGAGCTTTCTGTACATACCTCATTACAATTCTAATTTATTTTCCCAACAGAATCTTCACAATTATGTAAAAATTGGCACGGTCCTGCTAGTGACACTTCCTATTCTTTCATACCATAAAGCCTGAGCTTATAAACAAGCTGCAGAGAGAGGCATTTTCATTACATACATCACTGCATTGTGGCGGTATCTCCAGAATGGCTTAAATGCATCATGTACTTTTACCCAAATGGTCTCTGAACAAGAGTGTTGGAAGAGATGTCAGTTCTTGGGCCCTGACAATGTTGTTTCCTAGCCTAAAAAGTCTGAGAAATGTGGAATATTCCTACCTCCTTCTGTGAGAAGTCAGAAAATGAAGAGACGTATTCATCTTTAAGCCAACCTTCCAAATTTACCTGAGCATAGAGCACCACCCCTTCACCACCACCCTCTTTTCTTTCCTTTGGAAATTCTTATTAACATTCTATAGGACATCATTGGAAGGTTAATCTGATTGTGGCACATCCATAATTTGGCTATTTAGAACATTATGTTTAAAAACAGAGTTAATGTCATGAGTCTGTCTGCTTATCTCTATCTCATTGTATTTTCCGCTTATCTTCCTGGTTTCTTTTTCTTCCTGAATCTCCAACACATGCCCACACTTGGATTTTAAATTATTGGTCCAAGACAAAAAGAGTCATGAGTACAAGTTCGGGCCGATCTACTTCAATGAACAAACAATCGAAAGCTCTTTACTTCCTGATGGCAAAAATATATAAAATTAGTGACATCTACTTCAGTATGCATTAACCTCTTTTTAAAAAGCTGCCTCCTTTATCTTCCATTCTCAATTTGCTTTAGGATGTCTTTTATTTCTTCCTTATCTATGGCTCCTACTTTCTCACAGACTTTTTTTTTAAAATGTATTTGGAGGCTGATATGATCAGTGTACTTCCTCTGAAATTAAAGTTTCTTTTGATATTGAGTTCAGTATATTCAGAGTGGAAATCAAATGACTTAGGCTGGTTACAAAGATTTAAGTTAATAGAGATGAATTTAATCCACTGGTGGTGTGTTCATAATCAAATGAAGGACTCATTTCTGTTCTAGAGCCTACCAAATAAAAATGTCAAAATAATTGGATTAAAATCATATGAAATTTATTTATTTATTCAACAAATATTAAATGTTTTTATGTGCCAGACAATATTGGGTGATGGACATACTGATGTTAACACTGAGACCCTACCTTGCCTTCAACAGCCTCTAGTTTAGCAGAGAAGGCACACATTAATTCTGTATTTGTGTGTGCCATGATCTGATTGTAATTGTGATAAATGTCATGGGAGAGATGATAGGGCTGATACAGCCCAGTCCTTGGGTGGGGAGGCTGGGTAAGGATAGGGTCAGAGAAGGATGACCTGAGAAAGTGACGTTGAAGCTAAGATATAAAGAATTTGAAAATGGCTTGGTAAAGTTCTAGATAAATGAAACAGCATCAAATGCGAAGGTTGCCACATTTGAGATGAGAGCAGGTCAGTGTGGTTGCAGTACAGAGAGCAAGGCACGATAGTGTGAGACTAGGCAGAGAATAAGCAGAGCCACCATCATAGGAGCTCAGAGGCCATCTTAGGACATCAGAACTTTCTGTTAAAAACAATGGGAAGCCAAGAAAGGTTTTTAAAGCAGGAAATGGACATGATCAGGTTGAGTGTATAAGCCGTCTCCCTAGCTCAGTGGAGAAAGCAGACTCATCTTGGTGGTAGTAGGGAGACCAGCAATTGTCCCCAAAATGTCCAGTCACTACTGGCAAAAGCACCCCTAAAAAACATACAATTGAGGAATGCAAGGTGCAACTTCATTAGAAGCCCCTCGGCTTACAACGTCTATCTAACCAGAATGCCATTCTTAAATCGCTCCTATTCCTATTTCAAACTTCTGGTTCAAACAGCTCTAGTAGCCATGGAAGAAAAGATTAAAGGCAGAAAGACTGGTAGCAGAAAAGCCAATAAGGAGGTTTTAGCCTAGGCACTTGGTTCTGGTGGTTCAGGAAGTAGAGAAAAGTCAATTAAAACAAGCTACACAGAAGGCGGAATCTCTAGTATGTGGTGAATCTGGTTATTGCAATTACTACATGTATCTTTTTAAAAAAGTAATGGTTTTGGTTCCTCTTGAAATTTACATGACACTGGAATATCCTCATTTCTCTGAATTATTTTTCTTACATATAACACATATATGACATTTGACCTTGTCAGATGCTTAAAACAGAAGAATTAAGCCAAGAAATATTTCTATCAATCTCAAGTCTTTTAGGAACCTAACTAAAGGAGAATTAATAGTTTAATTATAAACAATTCTTTCCTGATCATTTTAAAAGACCCACTGAGAATGTGTGCCAGGCAAAATAGTCTAGTTTTAGTTACTTTTTGCAACCTAAAGTAAGAAGTCTCTATTTTTTTAAACAATATTTGATGACTTAGGGTGATCCAGAATTAATTTCCTCCGCTGCTAATGCAATTCTGTAAGTTTTTACTCAATTCTACTCTGCATCATTAAACAGGACTAAAAGCTTTACATTTAGGGAAGCATATCACTTGGAAAAAAAACACGTTAATGTGAATTATAACAACAAACTTTGGAGACTAAAGGCATGACTAGTAGGATCTTCCACCCCAGATTTTTTATATGCTAAGAAAATGAAGAAAGAAGCACACACACATACTAGATTACCTACAACACGGCCTCTTAGGCAAAGCATTGACATTTATGTAGAAGGACTTCAAGCGTGGAGCTAGAGAATATGCATATTCAAGTAATAATTTGATTTTAAAACCTGTGCAGCCCGAAGTCAAGATCAAATTGCATACTCAATTTTTCCACCAACATTTAGAATATTTTCTCAACGTTGAGACGTGATAATAGTTGTGTGGCTGTGTGTTTTTTAAAAAGTCTATTAAGTAGAAGAGACTGCTAATCACTGAACCAGCCCTTGCAGTTTTCTTTGCTGCTCTACAGTCAGTTAACAGGATATTACAAAATAAATTAAGAATAAGAAACAGGCCAAGTTAATGCACATGATAAAGAGTTGAGTCAGGGAAGGTTTCTGCAATATTTGGAGCCTGAAAGGAGAGACTCTAAGGGTAGCAGTGGTGTATGATAATGAGAAGAGGGAGAGAAAAATGGTAAAATACTTTATGCTCTTCAAGAATCATTCCTTTTGCTCCTTTTGAAAAAAAAAAAACAAAAACAAAAAACAAAAAAAACACTTTCACGGTAGCAATTTTTAAATGCTTTTCAATAATTGTGAGTGCCAGATTCATGATTCTGTATAGGAACATCTTAATGTAACATCCTTAAGTAGAAACCCAGTAGAACTTGGTTTTGTATCATTACATCAATATTGAAAGTATAGCCTGGGTGTGGTGGCTCACACCTGTAATCCTAGCACTTTGGAAGGCTGAGGTGGGAGGATCACCTGAGTTCAGGAGTTCGAGACTACCCTGGGCAACAAGGAAAAACCCCATCTCTACTTTAAAAAAAAAAAAAAAAATTAGCCAGATGTGGTGGTGTACACCAGTAACCCCAGCTATTCAGGAGGCTGAGGCACAAGAATCTCTTGAACCCAAGAGGCAGAGGTTGCAGTGAGCAGAGATCACGCCACTGCACTCCAGCCTGGGTGACACGGTGAGTGAGACTCTGTCTCAAAAAATATATATTGAAAGTATAAATACTACTATACCATTTTAAAGTACACATACATAGAGGAGTAGCAATACCATTCTGTGAAGACAACTGGTTAGTTGTAGTTACTTTCATATTCTGGAGCTGTCTTCTGCCTGGACTATTCTCCCCTCAATCACAAATTTTCACTGGGTCAGTGCCTGCTCAGATATCATATCTAGGCTTAATCAACTGTTCTGTAGAAAGACCTTCCCAGATCCTATAGATGCAATGCTGTCAAACAGAGCTCTCTACAACGATAAAAATGTTCCAGATGTGTGTTGCCCAATATGGTAGTCATGAGCCACATGTGACCACTGAGCACCTGAAATATGGTAGTGTGCCTGAGGAAGTGAACATTTAATTTTATTCCTTTTTAATTAATTCAAATTTAAATTAAATTTAAATAGCTACACGTGGTTAGTGGTTTCCATGCAGAAGCAGAAGAAGACAGCTCCTGTTCTTCTATTTCATTCATATTCTGTGTGTCCCCTTGTAGGACTTGGCATATTTGCAGTTACATAGTGTTTAAAATTATTTGTTTAATGTCCATCTTTCCCACTAAATTATTGAGATTTTAAGTAGAGTAACTAGGTCTGTCTTGATCCCACAAAAGCCCATGCTTGACACCACAAGCCCCCATGCTTGACACATAGTGTCTATTCAAAGAGCTGCTGACTTACCATTTAAATAAAGCTTTTAATTATCTTAAACATATAATATCAGATATTAATAAGTTGGTTAAGTGAATACCAAAGGTTCATGTTAGAAGACTGGAATACTGTTTACAAGGTGTGAACTTTCTGGAAAAGTCCAGAAAATGCCACCAGAAATTATAAAAATCAGTGGTAAAATGTGGTTGCCACAGATTTTTCATAAACACAAACATACATACACACACACATTCTCAAAACACAGCTGCCTTCAGCAAAAGAGTCTTCTATTTTGCTCTAAAATCTGTTGTGGTTGTGAAAATGATGACACTTCTCTGCAAAAGAAAAATTTCAATGCAAAACAAACTCACAATTTAGCTCAGGATGTATGAAAAAGTTGACACAAAGAAGCTGTCCTTTCCTGGTTTAAATGACACATTTTATCTTTAGATTTTGGTAGCTAATTTTTAAAAAAATCCTTTAAAACGTATTACCTTTTCCAGGGACAAATGCTCTATAATGTTATTCTCTGCCATCTTTGAAAATGAAATAAACATTTATTAAAATAATACCATACACGACATAGATATTTTTAATACCCCCATTGGAAATGGTGGCATAGAGAAGTGGACAGTGTGTATAAAGCTACGAATTCCAGAGAACACTGGTTATAATTCAGTGGGAAATACAGTTAGTTTGTCATTGTTTGGCTGATTTGTTCATCCATCCATTTATCTCTCTCTCCATATGTAATGTTTATCCTTTCTTACTTTACTAAAATAATATCTTTCATCATGAAACTCACAGTATGCTAGGAAAGTTGAAAAAATACACAGGTGACTGAAATATAAGCCCCTAAAGAAAGCTGTGTTCAGGAGAGGCATAGAGTTCATCCTTGGAGGAGCCATTTATATGAAAACAGTTCTGTTTACATGCAACAGAGAAAGCCATTAAGCTTTTTTTTTTTTTTTTAATGGAGTTTTGCTCTGTCCCAGGCCGGAGTGCAGTGGTGCGATCTCGGCGATGCCTCAGCCTCCTGAATAGCTGGGACTACAGGCACGCACCAACACGCCCAGCTAATTTTTGTTTTAGTAGAGACGGGGTTTCACCATATTGGCCAGGATGGTCTCAATCTCTTGACCTTGTGATCCTCCCGCCTCAGCCTCCCAAAGTGCTGGGATTACAGGCCTGATCCACCATGCCCAGCCAAGAATTCTTTTTTTTTTTTTTTTTTTTTTTTTTTTGAGACGGAGTCTCGCTCTGTCGCCCAGGCCGGACTGCGGACTGCAGTGGCGCAATCTCGGCTCACTGCAAGCTCCGCTTCCCGGGTTCACGCCATTCTCCTGCCTCAGCCTCCCGAGTAGCTGGGACTACAGGCGCCCGCCACCGCGCCCGGCTAATTTTTTGTATTTTTAGTAGAGACGGGGTTTCACCTTGTTAGCCAGGATGGTCTCGATCTCCTGACCTCGTGATCCACCCGCCTCGGCCTCCCAAAGTGCTGGGATTACAGGCGTGAGCCACCGCGCCCGGCCCAGCCAAGAATTCTTAAGAAAATATCCTAGTGAGAGCCTTTCTTTTTAATCCTGAAATGCATCTGATTGAGGACACAGGGTTTAGGGAGGGGGCACAAAGGAAAACTGAACAGTACATATGTGTTGCATAAATTCATGGACTAATGATTAGGACAATTAATGAATGGTTTAAATATGTTAGACGAAAGCTCATTTTGTAATGTTCTGAAACACATGAAGCAATGTGAGAGACTATTATTTTGTTTGTTTGTTTGTTTGTTTTTTGAGACAGAGTCTCACCCTGTCTCCCAGGCTGGAGTGCAGTGGCGCGATCACGGCTCACTGCGAGCTCCACCTCCTGGGTTCACGCCATTTTCCCGCCTCAGCCTCCCGAGTAGCTGGGACTACAGACGCCTGCCACTATGCCCGGCTAATTTTTTGTATTTTTAGTAGAGACGGGGTTTCACCATTCACAGGATGATCTCGATCTCCTGACCTCGTGATCCGCCCGCCTCAGCCTCCCGAGACTATTCTTAAAAACGCCCATAGTTTCCACACAAACAGGCTGATTATGAAGAGTGACAGAAAAGCCAACAATTGTAACGTTTGCCTAAATTTTCTTCAGGTATGTTCCTGGTTTTTCAGGAGGCACTCTGCCTTGCAGATAGAGCTTACAAACCAAGACCATCAGGGTACATGTGGCACTTTCATTTTTCTTCTCAGAGTAGATCTAGAGACATTTAAATTAATCATTTGGAGGTTGAAATACCAATTCCTTGGTATTTCAAAGATAATGTGCCAAGTCCTATTATCATTTAGCAATAATTTAAGGAAAGGAAGTATCTTTCAAAAGTACAGAACAACCTACACAGATTTAACATGTCAAACTAATATGATAAAATTATTTTGCTACTATGGTAATTTCAAGATGGGTGTGACATTTTGCTTTTTTGTCTTCTAAAAAATGAAAAATGTCTTTGAATCTTGTTAGCAATGCCTGACCTTCAGACACACTGGCCATGCCAGGGATGCAGAGTTCACAGTGATTACTCCTACATGTACCTGGGCCCAAAGGCCAAGCCTAGGAGGTTCATTTCATTATCATAAAGTAAGGTGAAAAAAGATCAAACGTGGATTCAAAAAAAATAAAGCACTAACAAGGAGGAGAATATAGCCCGTTGCAAGCACTACAATCAAGTAGGTGGTACACATCCCCAGTCCTTGAAGAATTGCTCATGTGCCCTGTCTAAAACTGGTTTTGTAGACTCTGACTTTTGTCTTTGGTTGCACAATGATGAAGAATCAATTTTATCCCAGACCAGTGAAAATGAGAGCACATTACTACTATGAGGAGAACCGCTAAAGGTTAATTGGGTTTTAGATACTTAGCCCTAATTGTTCAAGATTTTATCATAATATCAATTTCTGCATTAATGCAAGGCACCCTGAGGCCATATGAAATAGATTTCATTCTAAATTTAAATACATCCTTCCATCCAAAAAGAGAAGCATTCTTCCCAGATAATTCCCACAATCAGAATCCAACTTCCTAGATGAAATAGGTCAAATTAACCAAACCTCCCCCAAAATATTGCTTTCAGTCAGTGATGACTGACATAATTATCTAGTTAATCCTAATACTTAGATACTTAATGTAGATAATCTGAAACATTAATTAAATATGAAAATACGTTACATGATTTTTCCTGGGAACTATATTTTAGTAACACTAACACTTCTGTTTAAGAAGTTAGAGATAGTTTTCTTTCCATAACTGGAACATTGAGTACTGTTGGTTCAACAGGAACAAGTTTGGTATGCCATTTATTTCGGTATTCAGAGCAGGTCATTACCAAAATGAAAATTACCTTAAGTATTGTTAAGCCATTAGGGCACAGTTTTGTATAATCAGACAACATCTTAATAGATACTCCTATTTATTGTCACAATAAACCATCTGTTAAGTTTTAGAGATCCATTTTTGAAAAAAGGAGATACCTAGTTTTCAGAACACCTGGTATAGGAAACTCTTAATTTACAAAATAAATGAAATTGAGGGAGACTGATGTGCGTTGCAAAAGAATACCTAGGTTGAAGAAAAAACAAAACACCTACCTAAATATTCTTTGACCAGTAGTATCTCTAGGGCTTCTGTGTTTCAATTTACAATTTTGTTTAACATATAACCTTTAAGGTATTCAAAAACAACAGCATCAATAATAATAGCTAAAATTTAGACAGGAGGTTATGTGATCCATTCACTATTCTAGAAACTTTACATTTATTATCTCACTTAAGCCTCACAGCAATCCTAAAAGGTAAGTGCTGATATAGTTTGGATGTTTGTCCCTTTCAAATTTCATATTAAAATGTGATCCCCAAAGTTGGAGGTGGGGCCTGGTAGGAGGTTTTAGGTCATGGGGGTAGATCTGTAATGAATAGCTTGGAGCCCTCCCCATGGTAATGAGTGGGTTCTCACTGTTAGTTCACACAAGAGGCTGGCTGTTTAAAGAAGCTTGTCCCTTGTCACTCTCACTGCCTCTTGCCATGGGATCTCCCAGCTCCCCTTTTGCCTTCTGCCATGATACTAAGTTTCCTCTGGCCTCTGCAGAAGCTGAACAGATGTTGGTGCCATGCTTGTACACCCTGCAGAACCATGAACCAAACAAACCTCTTTTCATTATAAATTACCTAGTTTCAGATATTCCTTTATAGCAACATAATTGGTCTAACACAGTCAGTGTCGTTATTTTCATTTTACAGCGAGGATACTGAGACTCACAGTAACTTCTGAAGGTTGTACAACCTTATGGGAAAAAGAGGGTACAGATTTTAAAAGCAATGGATTAAAATGAGTACTGCTGTGAATATCTACATGTCTCCGTACACGTCCAAGTTTAGTTGTCTCACTGCATGAGTATTTTCCATCTTTTCAGACCTATATTAAAAATGCAAGCCAAATATCGATTATTATCATTACCAGTTTCTAACACCCCTGAGCATTTTGACCCGGTAAGGCAAAGATGAATATTTCTTAGACCATTTTATCCATCATAGGTTATTCTACCAGTGAATAGCTGTCTGATATCTTGGTCTCAACATGACTAGAGGCTTTACAAGCATTTATAAATCCCAGTAATAGTACATCTTCTTGAGTGGCTGCCTGGTTCCACTATGCGAACATCATGGCAACCGCGTAACAAAAAAGCCACACAGAGTGTTCCTAGTACTTACTGATATGACCAAGACCTTGTAGCCTTTGAAACTCCATGATTTTTAACATAACCAAAAAGTTCATGAATAAGAGCTTGGTGCTTCATGTCACATATAAATGATTTTATATTACCCATATATTGTATTCCCGCGATTAGCCCCAAAGATGCCTCCCCAATTTAGCAGAAGTATATTGCTTAGGAGGGAACATACAAACAAAACAGGCTGGGCACGGTGGCTCACACCTGTAATCCCAGCACTTTGGGAGGCTGAGGTGGGCAGATCACCTGAGGTCAGGAGTTTGAGACCAGCCTCGCCAGCATGTTGAAACCCTATCTCTACTAAAAATACAAAAGTTAGCTGGGCATGGTGGTGGGCACCTGTAATCCCAGCTACATGGGGGGCTAAGGCAGGAGAATTGCTTGAACCTGGGAAGTGGAGATTGCAATGAGCCGAGACCGTGCCATTGCACTCCAGCCTGGGCAACAAGAGCAAAACTCCATCTCAAAAAAAAAAAGAAAAGAAAAGAAAAGAAAAGATCATTAGACATAAAACAACAAAAAAAAGCACATATAAAGCTGTTCTATTGCTCAGATAATATTTCAAAGAACAGGAAAGAGAACATATTTAAAAGTATATATCTGCATTGACTGCCAATCTCTCTTTCGATAGTAGAGATGACTATGTTTGATATTAAGCTTCTGTAAATCAGGCTTTCCTACTTTAACTTTCTAGTATCAACTGGTATATACAATCATTACTCTTTCTTTCCTTTTTTGTTTTTTTTCTCCTATCCTCTACATGGATAGACTAGAGGCTTAATAGTGTGATGATAATGGCTCTGTAACTCTGTAACTCTGGGTATGGCGTGTTCAGAACACCCACAGTAAACAATCCCAAATCCAAACATGTGTCTCAGAAAATGTGTCTCAAAGGCCTAGTGCTGTGCTGTCCAATATGGTAGGTGGTAACTACAAGTAGGTATTTACATTAAAATTAAATAAATTAAAAATTCCATTCCTTAGCCACATTTCAAGTGTTCAGTAGCCACATATGGCTTAATAGCTACTATACTAGCACAAATATGGTTCCATTGGACAGTGGCTAGCCTAGAGTAACATTTTCTAACTTACCACCTTGACCAGGGTTTAAATCAAGACCAGCCAATGGATTGTGCCTCACATGTACACCTACTTAATTTTAATTGGCATCCTGGAGTAGAAAAAAAGTACAGTGTTTGGAATAGACATCTCTTGCGGACATAGAATTGCGGAGTGGTGCCCACATACACCAAACATGGCTCATAAGAACTTGCATTAGCAGCAGTATAAAACTACAAAATACTAAAAATGCAACAAGAGTGCCACATCTCATAAATTACACGTGTCTTTCCACGTGCCATTTCAAAATAAGCCATGAGCGAAGTGTTTTTCTTCAGGCATACAGAGTTAAATAAAGTCCTGAATACGATCCGTAATCACAATCTGGGTCTAATCTGAGACAATTCATCTTCTTATTCATTAAACCAGAAAACTTGTATGAATTGGTAATACAAGTAACACCGATAATTTTTTTAAATGTCCATTTTACCTACATGTGAACCTGATACTCTGAAAATCACTGTTGATTCTTGTCAAGTAAACAACTATGCCACTGATAAAGCTCCATTCTTGAGTCCATATTATTCCCTGATAGAACCCAATAATCTAATCAGAGGTTTTTTTACCCCCACTTAGGAATTGTTTTTTGGATACTGTGACTCCAATAGGGCTTTCATTAACTAAAAAGAACTGTATACAACATATCAAATGCAGCATCTGGTCTAGTCTGAATTTCTAAATGACAAGCACAGCATGCATTTGGAATTACATAGAGAACGAGAAATCAGACCTCTATCATTAGCAATCTTTTTCCCCAAACACTGCTTCCACTTCATGCTTCAACACCTTTACCTTCCACAGACCTCTTGGTAATGTCACGACTAGCTTGTCAAATCAAATTCAGCAGCACACAAGCATCTGTATTAATACTTTTGCATTTTCATTCACTAGGAAAAAACAAACTCTACTTAGTAGGCAGATTAGCCATTATCTACTGTAACTCTAAACCATCTGAGTTACATTACTAAAATGAATTGGCATTGAAAACAGAGCGACAGAAATGTTTACCGATAGAAAAATATGTAGGGAATGGGAGTTTCTTTTGCGCTTACTTGCCAGTGACTTCCTAAAGCTGTAATGAGGTCAAAATAAGCTGGTTTATTTCATCTGTGACCACTGGGTGAGATCTCATTTTATAATGGCCTTAATAATTTGCCACTTATGATTACGATAATAACAATATTTTTTAAAATCACTGGAAACTTTAATTAGGTATTTCCAAATCGCTAGGGGTTATTAACCAAGGGTCAATTTTGCTCCCCCAACCCCCACCCAGAAATATTTGGCAATGTCTACTGATATTTTTGGTTCTCATAATTGGAGGTGAGAGTGCTACTGGCATCTAGTGGGTACAGAACAGGGATTCTGCTAAATATACTTCAATGCACTGGAAAACTTCCTGCAACAAAGAATTATCCCACCCAAAATGTCAACAACGCCAAGGTGAAAAAACCATGCCCTAAAGCTACATATGATCACTATCATTTAAATGATTATTCCAGGACTTCTATGGACATGAGCTACTGAAAAAAAAAAATCATTTTGTCTTTCACAGATGTCAAGCTTAACCAAGTCCATGTGACCATTTAGAGAGTTAGGAGGTACATCTACTATAAAAATAGCATTTTTCAACAGAGGCTATTTTGTTATTTGTTTCATCCTTATTCATCCTGTCTCTCTAAACAACAGCAAAATTTTTAACCCATCATCAACCTTTAAATACTGTTGGGTCAAGTTCTCACTGTCAAAAAAGACATATTAATTGCAAAAAAGCAAAAACATGACCATCTTTACAGTGCTAAATCACTTCTGGAAAATGTTTATGTCAAAAATCAGCTTAAATTTTTGGAGATAGGACAGGCGCAGGTGGCCCATGCCTGTAATCCCAGCACTTTGGGAGGCCGAGGTGGGTGGATCACGAGGTCAGGAGATCAAGACCATCTTGGCCATCATGGTGAAACCCCGTCGCTACTAAAATACAAAAAATTAGACGAGTGTGGTGCTGCGTGCCTATAATCCCAGCTACTTGGGAGGCTGAGGCAGGGGAATCACTTGAACCCGGGAGGCAAAGGTTGTGGTGAGCTGAGATCACACCACTGCACTCCAGCCTGGTGACAGACCAAGACTCCGTCTTAAAAAAAAAAAAAAAAATTGGAGATAATTTTTAATAGAGACTATTACTAATCTAATAATAACTTCCATAATATCTTAAGTTTCACAACAGAGATGATGATATAAAGTAGAATTAAGTGGCAGCCTAATTATTAATGATGTTCTTTGCCTTTGAGATAATCCAGTTATACACTTTAAAGGTTTGGTATCTTTAGCCCCATGCGAGGAGAGAGTCGTATGTTTTTCTTTCTCTCACACACACTCCAGGAAAGGAAAAGCAAGCACAGTAGTTAACCCCTGATAGTTTATTAGTCATTCTTGCTTTGTCGCTTTATTACCACGAAACTGGTCAGTCATGGACATAAACAAAACGTGCAAGGATAAGGCAGGCTTTCACTCACATAAAAACTGCCAAGGGCCAACCCCATTGTGAATCACTACAGAAAATCATTACAAAATCTTAAAACAACAACAACAACAACAAAAACCCAGCACTTTGAATCATAGTATCTCTTCAACAGATACACTACAAAACTTTATCAGAAACACTATGTGAGAGATGAACAGAGCTAGGAGGTATTTTCACATTAGTAAAAAAAAAAAAAAAAAAATCTCAGAAATCATTTATATAAAAACCTATTGTGAGAAGTCTAAATTTACGTTCAATGCCTTCCCTTTCTTTCGCTCTATACAGTTTTAAAATATGTTCATTTTGTTCTAACTGCACAGTAATAGGCATGGCCTTCTAAGCAGAAAAAATATATTATGGCAAGGAAAAATGAAGAGATACGTTGCTAACACAACAGACTTTTGTTAAACAATTAAGAGGAAAAAAATGCATACAATATAGCATTTGCTATATAACCATAACCTCTCCCATTCCTGGTGTCCCACTCTGAATTCTACTTGATTCAACAACTTAAGATGCAATGGAAATAATAATGTCTATTCCAGCAGATTAAAAAATACAAGGCAGCAGTAAATGTTATGACCACCAGCTAATGGGCTATGGTGGAGAAGCATCCACTGTGGATTAAGCTCTCAAGTACTCAATAACTTTTAAAAATGCCTTAAATCACCCACAAAATGCAGTATACATGGCTTTGTGTATACAACTGTTAAGTGTACAAATATACATCAGGTGCAGGAAATCAAAAGCAGCCTTTGTGAAAACTTAGTTTTATAGTACTTATTACTACAAACTAGACATAAAGGTGCTGAATAAAATAATTAAGAAAAAGGAAATAGCAACTTTGAACAATCTTATAAATCATTTTATATAAGTTAGTTATCCTTAGAGTATGTATACTATAATTCTGAGTTAAATATTTATATAATACAATTTTTGTAACTGAAACAGGATCTCACTTTGTCATCCAGTCTAGAGTGCAGTTGCACGATCATGGCCTACTGCAGCCTTGATCTCCCAGGCTCAAAGGATCCTCCTGCCTCATCTACCTGAGTAGCTGGGAATAAAGGCATGCACCGCCATACCCAGTGAATTTTTTTTTCTGGTAGAGATGGTGTCTTACTACATTGCCTAGACTGGTCTTGAACTCCTGAACTCAATGGATCCTCCTGCCTCAGCCTCCCCAAATGCTGGAATGACATATGTGAGCCACTGTGCCTGGTCCATATAAGATTTTAGAGTATTACTCTAAGAGATTAACCCTACCCTGGGGAATCGATGTCAAAAGTTGGGAATATCTTTCCTAGGTGAAATAATAGAAATAACGAACTCTTTAGAGCTGACTATGTAGCAGGTGCTTCTGAGTGCCATACCCAGGGTAACTGATCCATGGGTTACATTAGAGGAAATTGAAGCATAAGGCAAGTAAGTAACTTGGCCAGAGCTGCAGAGCAACCATGTGGCAGAACCAAGATTTCAAGATTTGAGCCCCGGCAGTGTGGTTCCATAGACGCTACTCACTGGTCTCTTCTGCCTCTGGAAGACTCTCTCCTTCCCTGCCTTCTTGTCACCCCTCCTCCCACCCACTGACTACCACTGTACAGCGAGGGTCTTAAGCCAGAGATCCTATGAGCCGCAACCACCATCTGTGAGCTGCACATTTTTTGAGGAATTACCTTTCCGGCAGCACATTTGAGGGATTCAAGGACTTAGAACAACATGAAACAATTCAACAATAATGACAAGGCAATGACTATCGAAGTGCAGCTTCACCTCACAATATCTATAAAAACATCCATGGTTATTGCACCATCCACTTGTTCCTCTTCCTGTACTCTTGTCATTGTTTCAATAGAAACCGCTGACTACCCTGACTGCTCTCATATATACCCAGAGGACAAGGTTTGAGCATCTTCTGGTAAACAGCAATCTTTCTTCATGCTGGCATGACCTCACACTCCACTTCTTGCCTCTTCTCTAAACAATTTCTTCTGTTGTATACACTACTATAATCATAGCACACATGGGTCAAAATCACTAGTCTAATCTCAGTACTCTACCTGCAAAAGAGCAGTACCTAACAAAGAAACCAACCTACACTCTCATTTGTGAAGGGCCTACTGTGTGTGCGTTCCAGACGATATGTGGTAGGTGCTGACCACTTTACATGCATCAACTGACCTTTAAACAGAACTATGTCCACTATAGCGTAAACACAATGAGGGCTCAGAGTGGACAAGCAACTGGTGGTCCACAATTCCATAGCCTGTTAGGGTTAAAGCTGGGATTCTAATCTGGTCTGCTCTTGAAAGTCCCCACTTGGTAATATTTCTCTTTCTCTGCCTTTGCCTAAGGAAATTCTATTTATTCTTTTTTTTTTTTGGAGTGCAACAGCGCTATCTCAGCTCACTGCAACCTCTACTTCCCAGGTTCAAGCGATTCTCCTGCCTCAGCCTCCTGAGTAGCTGGGATTACAGGTGCCTGCCACCACACCTAGCTAATTTTTTTGTATTTTTAGTTAGAGACAGGGTTTCACAATGTCAGCTAGGCTGGTCTGGAACTCCCGACCTCAAGTGATCCACCCACCTTGGCCTCCCAAAGTGCTGGGATTACAGGTGTGAGCCACCGTGCCCAGCCAACTTATTCTTTAATGTCTCCCACACTAATCTGCATTCTCCCTGCAGGCAGGGACCATGCTTTGTTCACCTCTGTTTCTATTATACTTCCTAAGGAATGGACACTTAAAACTTCCCGAACTGATCAAAATAAATGTGAGAGGACAGTGCCTAGCATCTAACAGGCTCCTTGGTGGTTGCGGTCTAAGTGGACATGTACAGGTGGGATTACTCGAATTCTAAGAATGGCTGGATTTAACACAAGTCAAAAGCATTTGGAAACAATAATCATCATCCTGAATTCCCAATTCTCTCCCCCCTCACCTTTCTGCCTCTGCTCTACCCCTTCTTCTCCAACCCTATGTCTCAGTCTGTCTGTTTCTCCACTCTCTTGACTTCTCTCTCTGTCCCTCTCACACCATTATTGTCACCACAGGCCTTTGAAGCGACTATACCCTCAAACACACCATACTTATCTTCCACAATCACATCTGAAATATTTTGGCTATAGTTTGCTTATGGTTTGTTTGGCCTTGCTGAGTCTCATGTTGAAATCTGATCCCTAATGTTGGAGTTAAGGCTCGATGACAGGTGTTTGGGTCCCAGGGGCGGATCCCACAGAGATGGTTTGGTGCTATTCTCAAAGGAGTGAGCCCTCCCTCTTAGTTCCTTCAGAACTGGTGGTTAAAAGGAGCCTGACACCTCCCACCCTTCTCTGTCTTGCCATGTGATCTGCACATACCAGTTCTCCTTCCCCTCCTGCCATGAGCAGAAGCTTCCTGAGGCCCTACCAGAAGCAGATATTGTTGCTATGCTTCTTGTACAGCTTGCAGAACAATGAGCCGAATAAACCCCTTTCTTATAAATTACCTAGTCTCAGGTATTCTTTTACAGCACACAAATGGACTAAGACAATTTCTAACCACATCTGAGATAAAATTAACCCCCTAAATAAGCACACAAATGGTATTGATATGATGAATAACTCACCTCAAATGTACTTCAGATAGCCTTCTGCACAAGGCACGTCTCTTGAGTTAACAAACCCTAGCCAGGCATGGTGGCTCATGCCCATAATCCCAGCACTTTGGGAAGCTGAGGCAGGCAGACTGCTTGAGTCCAGGAGTACGAGACCTGTCTGGGCAACATGGAAAAACCCCATCTCTACAGAAAAAATACAACAATTAGCAGGGCCTGGTGGTCACATGCCTGTAGACCCAGCTACTCAGGAGACTGAGGTGACAGGATCATAAGCCCAGGAGGTGGAGGTTGCAATGAGCAGCGATCATGCCACTACACTCCAGCCTGGGTGATAGAGACCCAATCTCCAAACAAAACGAAACCACCACACAAGACCTAAACCTGATATCCAGATCTGAGAAGACAGAAAATATTTTCAAATCTCTCACATATATATGCATTCATACATTGCTACTTACTTTCCTCTTTGTGTGTTACTGATGTCTTCAAGTAATCACACAGCTCTCTGCACATGCCAGCTCTTGTGTTCCAAGTTTCCATGCAGCATCTCATGGAATTGCCTCAACAACTCCAGGGCTAGGGACTACTGTCATCTGTATCTAACAGACAAGGAGGCTGTGGTACAGAGGGCTCGTAAAGTTAGCACAGTGGAGAAGGCAGGTTGCTACTCAGACATCCATTCCTAGAGCCCACATTCTTAGAACACACAGCCTGTCTGTCCCTCCAGCACCACCCTGCCTACTTTTAGTCATCCTGGTGTCGTCTGGCTGTAAGTTCCTGAGAATTACCCTAGTTGCTAATGTACTGGAATGGCATCTTCCTTATTAAAGGCACTCAATTTAGCAATGCATTTGCATTCCCTGATTGGTTTTCCATATAAGTGGTTCACAAAATATGGTCCCTCTGCACCACTTGGGAGTGTCTTAGAAATGTGTATTCTCAGGCTTTATCCCAGACTTGTTATGTTAGAAACTCTGGAGCAAGGGCCTACCTGCCTGTGATTTCATAAGCCCTCCAGGTAATTCTGATGCATGCTGAAGTGTGAGGCTTACTACCCTGCATGATATTTATGGCAAGTTTTAGGTAACGGTGCCTTTGAACACTAACTTTCAGAAATAGAAGATAGAAAATGTGCAGTAAGGCATCTTGCTTCAGTAACACCCAAGGGCACATTCTGTCTACAGTTCCTCACTCTGTCATCTGTCCTCACACGTAGGCTTTCTGCTTATACACTCCAAATTACAACTACCTAACAGCTTCTAAAATGAGTGTCTGGCTTGGAAGATTTTTAAATGCTATCAGAGAATGTCTGTTTCAGGATTTAACTTGTCCAGTGCAAAGAAGTGAGGCTGGGCCACAAGTGACCCATCACTTCACCTGTAAGAGCAAATTAATTACCCCTCAACATAAGTGTTATATTTATGTGCCAAGTATGGTCGATAATGAGGTCTTTACCGTGTAGCCATATTTCAAGCCATTGTTCACTTAAGTAAACACATTTTAATCACTGTCATTTTATTATTTATTCTTGAGTCTACTATACACCTGTCAGAACATTTTGTGTTTGACTAACTGTCATCTCCTTGTATCTTTCCTGCATCATATATAAACCACTGTCCACCTCCACATTTTTCCCTCTTACTGAAGTCAAGCACTACACAAGTTCATGGGGACTTAGAGGCAAGTGTGACGGCTGACCACCCCAATAGTTTGCAAAGCCTTTCATCTGCTCCTCTGAAAACGCTTTTCACACATTCCTTCCATATATCTCTCTGCTGCAATCTCTCTGTTGCAAAACTGTTGTTGATGAAGTGACATTTATCTAAGCATTGTCACTTTGAATAATACCAAAGAAAGAAAATGAAAATCAATGTAATTGCAAGCTATCAACCTCAAATTTTATTCACTTGTTTTAAATTTGTCAAATGAAAATAATTTGTTTATCTGAGTAACAATATATGGGTATCAGTATATGGATAACAATTTTTAAAGCTTGATTTCAAATTTGGATTTTTAATATTAAAAAGATGAAAAATTTTTAGTCCAATTTTCCCTAGAGAACTCTAACAATAGTCATGTACTGTATAACATTTCAATAATGACAGATTACATAGATGACAGTGGTCCCTTAAGATTGTAATGGAGCTAAAAAAAAAAAAAAAAAAAAAAAAAAAAAAAACCCGTACCCTCTAGTATTTATTACAAGGTACTTTTAACGATTATTTTAGAGTCTACTTCTTCTATTTATAAAAGAGAAATAAAAATGTAAAACGGCCTCAGGCAAGTCCTTCAGGAGTTGCTCCAGAAGAAGGCGTTGTTATCACAGAAGATGACAGTTCCATGCCTGTTACTGTCCCTAAAGACCTTCCAGTGGGACAAGATGTGGAGGTGGAAGACAGTGATATTGATGATCCTGACCTGGCGCACGCCTAGGCTAATGTGTGTGTTTGTGTCTTAGTCTATAACAAAAAACTTTAAAAAGAAAAAAAACAAAATCTAATATTTAAAAATAAAAAAATACACTAAAGATATAAAGATAGAAAATATTTGTACATAGCTGTACAATGTGTTTTAAGCTAAATGTTATTACAAGAGTGTCAGAAAGCTAAAAAAAAAATTTAAGTTTATAAAGTAAAAAAGCTACAATAAGCTGGGCACAGTGGCTCATGCCTGTAATCCCAGCAATTTGGGAGGCTGAATCGGGAGGATCACTTGAGGCCAGGAGTTTGAGACCAGCCTGGCCAACATGGTGAAACCTTGTGTGTATGTGTGTACTACAAATATAAAAATTAGCCAGGTGTGGTGGGACATGCCTGTGGTCCCAGCTTCTCATGAGGCTGAAGGACGAGAATTGCTTGAACCCAGGAGGAAGAGGTTGCAGTGAGCTGAGATCACACCACTGCACTCCAGCCTGGGCGACAGAGTGAGACCGTCTGACAAAACAAAACAAAAAACAAACAAACAAACAAACAAAAACAAAAAAGAACAAGCTATAATAAGCTGAGATTATTGAAGAAAGAAAAATATGTTTAAAATTTATTTTTGTTTATTTATTTTCTTTTTTAGAGACAAGGTCTTGCCCTGCAAGCCCAGGCTGGTCTTAAGCTCCCAGCCTCAAGCAATCCTCCTTCTTCATCAATGTTTTTAAACAAATTTAGCATAGCCTAAGTGTATCATGTTTATAAAGTCTACAGAGGCATACAGTAATATCTTAGCCCTTCACATGCACTCATCACTTATGTACTGACTCATCCTGAGCAACTTCCAGTCTAAGCTCCATCCATGGTAAGTGCCCTGTACAGGTCTACCATTTTTTACTTCTTATACTGTATTTTAACTGTACCTTTTCTACGTTTAGATACACAAATACTTACCATTGTGTTACAGCTGCATATAATATTCAGTACAATAACATGCTGTGCAGGTATGTATAGCCTACATGTGCAGTAGGTTACACCCATCTAGATTTGTGTAAGTAACTATGATGTTCATACAATGATGAAATCACCTAAGGACACACTTAGCACAATATATCCCCTTCATCAAGCGATGGATGACTGTATTCATAAAAATCTGGATATTGAGGGGCTGCCTGATAATGCATTATTATATGTATTAAAATGTGTCTTGAGCCAAATGCTAATTAACTCTTGGCTGGTGCCTTTCCTTAATGTTTCTTTCTTCTTTTTTTCTTTTTTTAATTCTGATTACTCTTTGGGACAAAAAGGTGGTGCTGAAACAAGATATCATTTATGATCAACTCAATACAGAGATTACTTAATATTTATCACATTATGCAGAGGCTTCAATAAGTTCATCAAAATATATGTTCCAAAATCCTATGCATAGATTTCAAACTTTTCTTCCATCAAAATAAATTCATACTAACTTGTTGTAACATGTCTGAGTAGGATCTAGTTTGAGGCACTAAGAAGATTAAGACATCAGTTTGAAAAGATCCCGTATCAGAGCAACATGAATAACATGAATTCTGCTAATGTTGAGGCAAGAACATGCATCAAATTTATGGCGAAGCTTGGATGGAAGAATGGTAAAGTCGCTGATGCTTTACAAGAAGCTTATGGGGGCAATGCCCAAAATAAACCAGCAATTTACAAATGGATAATTCATTATAAGAATAAATGACACCATGTCGAATATGAAGCCTACAGTGGCAGACCATCAACATCAATTTCCAAGGAAAAAATTCACCTTGTTCATGCTTTAACTGAAGAGGAAGAAGGACTGATGATTAACAGCAGAAACAGGCAACATCGTAGACATCTCAACTGGTTCATCTTGCACCATTCTGACTGAAAAACTAAAGCTGAACATACTTTCCACTCAGTGGGTGCCAAAACTGTTGCACACAGATCAGCTGCAGACAAGAGCTTTCTACTGAAATTTTAACCAAGTGAGATTAATGTCCTGAAGCATTCCTCAGAAGAATTATAACAGGAGATGGAACCTGGTTTTACCCGCATGATCCTGAAGATAAAGCATAATTATAGCAGTGGCTACCAAGAGGTGGAAATGGGTGGGGCCCAGTAAAACCAAAGGTGGACTGGTCACAAGTAAAAGTCATGGAAACAGTTTTTTGGTATGCTCAAGACATTTTGCTTGTTGACTTTCTGGAGGGCCAAAGAATGATAACATCTTATTATGAGAGTCTTTCGGGAAAGGTGGCTGAAGCTTTAGCGGAGAAACAGCTAGGGAAGCTTCATCAGAAAGCACCTCTCCACCATGACAATGCTCCTGTTCATTCTTCTCATTAAATGAGGACAATTTTGTGAGAGTTTTGATGGAAAATCATTAGATATCCACTTTACAGTCCCGATTTGGCCCCTTCTGACTTTTTTCATTTCCTAATTTTAAAAAGTCTGTAAAGGGCACTCATTTTTCTTCAGTTAATAATGTAATCAAGATTGCATTGACCCCCAATTCTTTAGGGATGGACTAAATGGCTGGTATTATTGCTTACAAAAGCATCTTAAACTTCATGGAGTTTATGTTGAGGAAATAAAGATTTTTTTTGAGAAAAAATTTATCTTTCAATTCTATTTTCCACAAACTTTTTGAAGTCCTCTTGTACTATCCTCAAACTTTGTGCACTAATTGAAAAAATATATATATTTTTGTAAAATTATTTATAATGTTACATATATAATATATAATTTTACATATAACTTATGTATATAATTATATATAAATTTGCATGTAATTTTTACATATATACACTTCTACAAAGGAAATAAGTGAGGACCAATTTTTTCTAAGTGGCTTAGGAAAAGCTGACCAAATAAAAGATCCTTCCTCACACACTGTGGAGTCCTTCCATTGAAGAATGTGGACAACACACTCCATAGCAGAAGTCAAAACTGGTGGCTGCTCTCCATCATATTTTATTTCTTCCTACGTTTTTTTTATTTAAATAAATTGTCAACTTTAAAAATTCAAGATCTTACATCTAAATATCTGGATTTCCATTACCTCATGGAAAAAATGAGGCCTCTGGCAACCATGAACTCTTATCCCCACATGGCAACGATTGCATGGTACTAAATAATAATGCCACCTATGCCAGGCTTGGATTCTCTTCACTCCAGTAAGTTCTCTGTCTGGCTCCTGTGGGCCTCTGCATTTGCCACCCTGCTCTGCGTTCAGTAATAACTGCAAGAGAGTTCTTTTGTTCCCAGCTTGGATTGATCCAGGAAGATGTCTAAAGAAAGCTGGACCAAGAGCAAACTCTGGAGAATGGACGGGAAAGAAAATGAGTAGGAGGGGAAAAGAAGAGTCTCTCAGGATAGGCTTATGGTGTAAGCAAAGCCTCAGGGGTGAGGGTCAGGGTATGGGGGAAGGATGTGTAAGATAGAGTAAAACACTGAATGTACTGGTTTGACTGGGTCAGAGGTGTAGGAATGGGAATAGCAGGTGAAAAACTTCAGAAAATTCATTGAAGAGAGACTGAGGAGAGCCTTGAGGGCTAATCCAAGGAGTTTCTGAGACATTCTCTAAATTACAGTTCTTAACTTTCTATTGAGAAACAGATCAACCCACTCTCTATGCAATTTCAGGTAAGCTAAATGCCCACTTAAAGCTTAGGCAGCATGCCCTGCCTCTCCTTACTTTCCATTCTTTAAATCAAAAAACAGTACCTACAAATGTTATGTTAATCTGGGAGCAACATGCCCAAAATCAAAAGGACTGAACATGCCCAAAATCAAGAGGACTGAAAGCAGGAAGAATGCTTTGGCACAGAAGGGGAAAGGATGAAGCGGCAGTGGAGAGCCATGGTTAAGGACACAGGTACCTGCCTGGGTTCACATCCTGAACTGAGTATATGCACCATGGTCTTCTGAAGGTTACTTATTATCTCTGAGCCTCAGTTTTTTCATCTCCAATGGAGGAAATACTAGTACCTACATTAAAGGTCTGCTGTGAGAATTAAGTGAGTTGATACATATTATATATGTTTAGAATAGTTCCTGGCACAAAGTAAGGTCTCCACGAACATTAACTGTGCTGCTGTCAGCATCACTACCACTGTTACCACTATCATCATCACTTAAAAAACTGCATTAAGTCCAGAAGGATAGTGGCTGAGAGTTCATCTGCAGCCGTGGCCATAAAAATAGAAGTAAATACATGACAAAGAAGTTGTGAAGGAAGACTATATAGGACTTGGTAACTGCAGAAATGTGGGGAAAAGAGCTATACAGAAGTATTTAAAGATCACTGCATGAATCTGAAGCTAGATGATACAATAAAATAACATGGACAAAGGTCAAAAAGAATGTGGCTTTTGGAGAAGTCACATTTAAGATGAAAGCAGAGGACTGCAGTGGGACTATTCAGAAGTAGTTGAAACGGCAGAAATAGAATTGAGTAGAAAGGTCAGGCTAGATGCAGATTTGACAGCTGGTGGTGCTTTGTGAAGCTGATAATTTCTGCAAGGCAAGGGGATGAGGAACACAGATAAGCCATATCATCATGATCATTGTTTTTAGATACCACTGCCTGGACACTTTCTATGTTCTAGGAGCTGTCCTGAGCATTTTATATGGACTGTCTCATTAAGCCATGATTATCTCCCCATTTTATAGATGCAGACACTGAGGATTAGAAAGTTTAAAATCCTTGTTCAAAGGCACCCAGCTTTTAGGCGGTATGAATTAAAAAGTGGAATCCATAGCCTTCACTCTTAATCATTTACTATATTCCTTTCCACAGTAAAAGAAAAGTGAGATGTAAGGAAAGGGAATAATCTAAGAAGTCGAGAGACAAAAGCGAATGAGTCATGCCTCTGAGGAAGAAGGTAACGAGTTTATGAGCTAGATAGAGAGTCTTCCAAAGGCTAATTTGTGCTTCATGAATAGAGAAAGGTTTTTAAAAGGAAGAAAGAAAGGGGCCTAAAAGGGAAGGAGTTACATTTGATCAGTCAAATACTAGACAAGAAAGTAATTCCCAAGATCAAATTCCAATTTCAGTTTGAATGCAGGACAAGTGGCAGGGTTTCATTTGCTTGGCATCACCAAAGAAATGGATACCAGAATTCTGATTTGACATTCATTTACAATAGAATTTTGCAATTATCAATTGCCATTTTTCCAGCTTGGACAGGGTTATTAACTTTTTCTTGGAAGGTGATTAGTGCTTAGATTCCATCCTTAAAAAGACACAGACTACAGAGGTACCTGTCCGGTGGTGGTAAATAATGTCAACTCCACAACAATGGCTACAAACACCACATCACAGATCACCACACCAACAGCTAACACACCAAGCCTTCTACCTACCAGGCACCACACTAGCTGGGGCTGATACCGCACTTGCTACCCAGAACTACCCCCATGTGACAGGTATTGTCACTCGCCAGTTCAGTCTACCTCTGGTGCCTACTGTCTGGCCCTCTTGTTGATATTTGGGTAAGTCTCCTAGAATTTGAAACTTCCATTTACTCCCTCAAAAAATAAAGAACGGATTATGTTTTGATAGCTACTGCAGCTTTATATAGTTGATGCACACTCTGTGTATGTTCTCCGTCACTCACATATAGGGATCTAGAGAAAACAGCTATATAACGTTAGGGGAAGGAGTAAATCCCCTTGTTTTCTGATAAGTTTATGAGCGAGTGACAAAAAGGAAAATCTTTCTTGTGCTTCAGAATGAGACAGCGATGAAAAACAAAACCACTTCTGTGCAGGGTGAAACAAACATTATTGCCAAGGCCATTTTTGATTGGGAAATGAACAGAAGATTAAATCATAGTGGCTAAGTGAAAGAAACCAGACACAAAAAGTTAATATATTGTACGATTCCATTTATATGAAATACCTAAAATAGATAAACCCATGGAGATAGAACACAGATTAATGCTTATCATGGGCTGGAGTGGATGGGAGAATGAGGAGAAACTGCTTAATAGGTAAGAGGTTTTACTTTGGGAATGTTTTGGAACTATATAAAGGTGGTAGCTGCACAACATTATCAGTGTACTAAATCTAACAGAATTGTTCACTTAAAATGATTAATTTTCTATTATGTGAATTACATCTCAATAACTTATTTCAAAATGAAAAAATAGAAAGTTTAAATTCAAGGATACATATAAAGAATTTTTTTTTGCTTTTTCCCCAGAACATTTAAAGAATCACTATAAAAAGGAAACTTTATCCTCCTCATATCTAAGTTTAATTTGGGAGGATGTGGGAAGGGGCTTTATTATTACTGTTACTTCTTTGCTTTTCATTGTCCACAAAATCACATATAGGAATGCACCAGGCAATCAAGCATTTTCTCTACCTGGGCTGTAGCCACTGATGTAAACTACATAGAAAATGTATTATACAGATAAGCAAATTCTTCACTGTGAAGGTAGTATTCTCTCTACTCAAAAGTTTTCAAAGAATAAACTGCAACTGTAGAAAAGAAGGGTAACTTTTAAATTAATTTAGAAGCAGAGCTCAGCTTGCCCTTTGCATTAGCTCAGGTTCTTTGACCAAAAGACACAAAGTCAGCATTAGACACCTAGGAGATTACTGGGGGAGGAAAGCAGGGTAGGAAGGAAGAACTTCCAGACCATGATGCTAATGCTTGTGAAGCAGAGGAAGAGATAGGAGGTTTGGGAAGAAGGAGTCTTAGGCTCCAGGGTACTTCCAAGAGAGGTCTGGCAGGCCAACTAGGAGTCCTTGAGCCCATGTTCCAGTGAGAAAGTCTCACATGTAAAAGGAAGGAGTCTATGCTAACAGCTCATTCACTGACTATAGGAAGTTTGGACTTGCCATGAGACAGCAGTGGATCAAGGATAGCAGTAGCTGAGTTCTTCAGCCAGTTATGCTCCCACAACAAGAGACCTCAGTGGCCCATTTTTATGGTGCCACATCAGCCTACTGATAGCGACAGGAGGCGGCCAAATGCCTAGGCATATAAAGGCAGGTCCCCAGTGCAACCCCACTTCCAAGCTGAAAACAGTTTAAAGCCTGAAAACCAAGCTACAGGTTAAATGCTTGGACTGGATTGAGAACTTGTCTTCCTGTTTGGCACACTTTCCTCTGATTGATCCTCACCTTTCACCTATTTTACATATACCTACCCTTTCCTAATTAGTTGTCTACACTGCCACGCCCACCTTTGAGTAGCGTCTTTGCTTTAACCTTTTTTGCATACTCACAGACCAATCAGCACACACTCCCTTTACTGAGCCCATAAAAGCCACAGCCTCAGCCATATTAGAGAATTTTCCCACTTTCGGGTAGGGGAACCGCTCCCCACATCCCCTCTTTGCTGAGAGCTTTCTTTTCACTTAATGAATTCTACTCTACTAACTCTCCAGTGTCCACGAGCCTAATTCCTCCTGGTTGTGAGACAAGAACTCGGACCTAGCTGAACTAAGGAGCAAAAAACCCTGCATCACTATTTTTCAAAGTCTCTACTATAGATCTGGCAGTACATTAACTCTCTTTCTCCTGTAGCTATGAGGAATGGGAAGCTGTGGTTATCGGAAACCTGAAAATAATACCTACTTTTATTTTAAGCAAGAGTTTCTGCAACTTCTCTCCTGAAAATCTTTGAGGTATAATGCTAGAAAGGGAGAGGAAATAAAAGACTCATAAAGGACAATGCCAGTGTCCATGCTCTAAGAAAAATTTCAGCCAGCAAGAAACTAACTAGATGAGAAAGTAATAATCGTGTGTGTAACCCAAAAAGGGCAAATCTGATCCTGCCTATCAAGTGTGACAGTTTATTAACATTGATTGGAAATTTAACAAATACACAGGGTCAGTCACATAGGTATTAATGCCACACCCACCCTCCACAATCAGTTATAAGCCTGTTCTGTTAAAGCAGTATGAATACTTTATAATCTGTATTCATCAGTTTTGCAGAATTGTAATGTTTGTCTGAAATCTAGGGTGATACTTAGTAAATTACACACTTAATATGTTAGAAAATATTAATGTTACCATATTACCCAATAATCCAAATTTTGTGGAAGGAATAAGGTACCTGGAAGGAATCTATTTGATTTCATAGGAGTTAAGAAAATAATATATATACCACATAGGTGGAAAAAAAATCTATGTTTTGGGAAAAACTGACAAACTCTGGATGTGTTACAAGAAAATGTTTTAAAAATAATAAAAAAAATTTATGTATGCATATACACATGTAATCTTAAAAATAAGGAATAAAAGGTGGAAAGTCTATACATAAGAATGAAATTTTATTATATATTGAAAAGCAAGTACTGTGATTAATAGACTTTTTTGAAAGATGCTAACATAACCTATTTTTGGGCCAGATAATCAGTCTCTTTTAGAATAAAATGTGCTTTCTATCAGCTTTTTGGTCACTGTAACAATAATTTGCTGGCCAAGAACTAAATAAGTGGCTTAAAGTACATCTGAAGGTATTTATAACCTATAAAAAGTTTCCTCTTATCATCATATCTGCTTTATTAACTTCAAGGGTTTTTCTGCAGAAGTTCTCTCATTTTCTTTTTGCACTGGGATTTTGTCCTTCATAGTTCTAAAAGAAATATCCCATTTTCTCCCTTTCTTAACCCTCAGGATAGAAGAAGTAGTATCTTCTCACAGTGTGTGAAGACTCATTCTCCCAAAAGATGAGCACAAAGGAATAGATGCTGAGAATATCAATGCCTGTGACATTTGCTGTCTCCCATAATGACTGCCATGGGAGGACTTGGGAAGCGGACTGCAATCTGATCTCAAGTCTTCTGACTCACACTCTATTTTGGACTGCTTTTGTCTTGGATCTGGAGTATAGAAACACCTATTTCGTGGTCGGTAGGCAGTTTAACAATCACATACACAATGAAGCAATCAGAAAGGTGAGCAGGTGAATATTCTCTTTCAGAGGATAAATTACTTTTTCTAGGAAAATGATTATTGGCTGACAATGAGGTGGTAATTTACTTCCCTCTAGACTATAATAAACAAAAATACAAAGTAGGACACCATTTTCAACAGCTGTGTGGGTGATTATAATCACCTTTTAGCCTTGAAACTAGTCCCTATCTCATTAGCTATGATACATAATTTTTTAAAAAATCATGCCTTCAAAAAGAAAAGGTTTTCTGTGGCTGAGTTAGGCTAGCTGTCCATAGTGCCACCTATTACCAAACTTTACAGAGGATGAGATTTCTTTTAAGTAAACCCTGCTTCTGAATTCAGAGTATCCTCTTGCTCCCAGCCTCCAGGAACTAGTCTGAGGCAGTCAGTTCTATTACAGGAAGAGGACACAAGAGGTGCATTATGTAAGTTAGCAATGACTAAGCCGGGTGCTCTATGGGGATGGCAGTACTCTGGATAGTGAAATAAGTGCTCTTTTAGGTAGGATTGCTTTAGTTGGTCTTTGAGTTACTTAAGAGCCAAGCCTAGAGCAGAAGAGGTTGCAACAGAATGTGACATGAGTTGGAATCTGTAGAACAGGAATTCAGGAGTTGTCCCTAGATACTATAGCAGGGTAAGAAATGGAAGCGGAGAGCACATCATGGAGACATGGAGAACAGAGGAGGTGAAAGAAGCCCTGTAATGTGAAGCACGGGATGGAGGACCCTGGCAGCAGCCTGGGGCCTGCAGAGGAAAAAGCTCCAAGAGGAGCTCCATATAAGAGGGTGGCCAAGTTCGTGGCATCAGACTTTCCACTGGAAATGGATTCCTGCTTTGTCCTATAATTACCCTCTTATCTCTATACCTCCAGGAAAAGAATGTTCTAACAATGTTGGTGTTAGAAACACCAACCTTGGGTTAGTAGAGCACTGGGGCTTGTAGGGATATGTAAGAAACATCTGCTGGTCACCAAGGGGAAGAGCTGAGCAGAGGTGCTGGCATGCACACAGAAGCAGGAATCCAGAGCAAGAGATGGCAGAAGAGCACAACAGAAACTCACACGTGTCTGAAAGTGCTGGGGTAGACAGTTGGTCTCCCCATGGTAAGCAGGATCACACCATTTGCACTTAGATCATTAGAGAAGCTGAAAAGACTGAGGAACTTAGGGAGTACGAAATCTCTCTAAGTGAAATCTCAGTGCGAAATCTCAGTGAGAGGATTTTGTTAGTCTAAATTCAAAGTCTCTAAAAAACAAAATTGAATTAGCTGCCAACATTTAAAAGTGAGATCATTTTATTTTTCTTAATCCAAATTCTTTGGTTAAAAAAAAAAATTAGACAACCTGAAAATGTTAGGCTTAAATTCCTTAGTGCTGCATAGAAATTGGTGCCTTTACAGAGAACAGTTCAAAACAGACCTACCACCTAGATCAATTTAATCATTGATACGGCTGGCCTGCCCCTGGAGACACCCAATTCTGCAGCCCCTGGTAGCACCTGATTTAAAGGATCTATCCATGACTAAAGACATTATCTATGCATTTGTAAAGGTTATTTTTGCTTTGCTTGTAGTGATTGCTCAGAAGATTTTTAGTGAATTCCTTAGTTATGTACTTTGAAGTGAAATCCAAGTTTCACCTCCATATACATGTGATCTCCAAAGTGGTTTCATGCTCATGAAAGACAGCTGTGCTGGTTATTCCTCATTTTCCACCAGATGCATTCTCTTTCCTTCCTGATCTGCATCCTGGGAAGTTATTTCCTGTGTACCTGCCAGACTCACTGATCCTCTGACTTACTGTTAGGTTCGGCCAGTGAGAATTATCTGCAACAGAATGGAGGCCAGGAGAGAAGAGAAGATGGGTATTGACTCACTGTCATGGTTCTATAACCCTCCACCCCCACAACTCCCATTGTGACCCCTTGGATAAGGTCAGCTCTTATGTGGCTCTGATAACACATGATCCCTTCTAGGTTTAGAGGTGATGCCAGCTTCCCTCCACTGTTAGTCCCCGGTGCTTCCCCACCCCATGTAGTTTCCTTAACCCTATCTATACCTTATAAGTAATCCCATTACTAAAATACCTCCCATTAAATCTGATTATACAATCTGTTTCCTCCTGGACCCCTGACTATAAGTCAAATTTGAACATTCCAAATTCTGGTACAAAAGCAGTTGGACAGAAAAGATAAAAGGAAATAGAGTAAATTTCAAATGAGTCTTGAAAACAATTTGGACAAGCATAATCTTGCAGATTGGTCCTTACAAGCCCTACTTGCCTTAATCAGATACCTCAACAGTTGAGTGTTCTGGGTCATTTCTTCTCTGAAGCCTTTCATTTCATGCGTAATTAGAAACATGCCAGTCTGTAATGATGGCAGCCTTTAAAATGGTCAGTCTGTCACTTCCATGGCCCTAACTCCAGACACAAAATGCATGCTTGATTACTAAGAGTCTTATTAAGGGGCTATTGTTTCCCCCATCCCTGCCAGCTCCTCCTACCTCCTGATCTTTATCATCTTGCATTCTACTTAAAGAAGGATTTAAAGAGAAAAAAAGAAAATCTCATAGACACTCACATCAGATTGTATTAATAAGCAAGGTAAACTACATCTGGGCTTGTCACTCACAGTTTTTCTTTTCCTCTCTAAATCTAAGAATAACATGCAGTCAGTTGCAAAACAGGGAGCAAGTTTTCCAAAGAGCACGTGGGTGGGAGAAGCCAACCATGAAGTAAATTCCAACATCAACAGTCTGGTTGGATTCCACTGTGGCCCCCACTAATTTTCCCAACTTTTTGGGCCATGAAATTTATTATTATCAACTCCAGGTATAGTTATAATCCTTGGTAAAACTCCTCTCAGACCTGGCAGATAGTGTCCTTTAAAGAGTACACTAATTCTAAAAACTGCTTATTTCTATATTGACTGAGATAGGAAAAAATAGCCTTCATTTTCACAAGTGATTCACTCTAATCATTTAATACCTATTACTGCAACAACATGCACCAGATTTCTGACAGACACCTGTTTGCAAATTATCTAAGTTTCAGAGCAGAAAGCCTGGTTTAGAAATACAATACCATCTGTAATAAAGTAGCACTAGCACTCATCTGGACTATTTTGGACTAAAAATAGTCCAAAAATGAAACACAATAGAATTTTAGTTTCTTGAGGATTGGGAATATCAGTCACTGTATAGTCATTGCTTCAAGAACAGTACCCAGTACATAGTAGATGCTCAATCCACATTTACTGAAATAAAAAGAATGCCTTAATAGCCCACTGTCTTGGCAGACTTTACCTACTCTCATTCCAGCACTTGGAACAATTACCTACTTTCAAGGACCACCTTTGTACAGTCATGCTCATGCCCAGAACAAAATTCTTATTTCACAGAGATACCAATAGTGCAAAACAAAGGTTTTGACTGGTTCTCTGCTTTAGCATATGAATAATACACTCTAGTCTACAGAGAAGATAATGGAAGCCAATAGTCCAAGCGTTCAAGTGGTACTTACTTCATTTAAAAGTAAAAGCCCGGGATAGACAAAGACAGAAAAAGCAGCATTGAAATAACCTGTGTGAGAAAGCAGAATTTTAACAACAGAGCTGGGCAAAGGAAAAAGCAATTAGTAGGTTTGTCTTCATGCAGCTTCAAGAGTACTGGTTGTTAAAATTATCTTAGGAGCTGGTGGTGCTTGGATTTCCTTTCAACAGACCCTGAACTATGCAGTGCTTAACCTCCTTTTCTGAGAACTATCCAGGGACACCAAATAGGAATGGATGTGCACATCGCTGCTGTCAGGGCTCAGAAAGATAATACCCAAAATGAAGGCCTCAGAAACAAAAGACTCTTGGACCTTCTCCAGCCCTCCTCTCTCTAGCCTCTAATTTTCTCCCCATAGGCCAGCCACAAAACCTAAAAATATTATTCTAATCCCTACCACCTTCCTGCATAATAACTGGCCATGAAGAAACTATCTGACCTACCTTGCTTAATTATAGGTCATTAGACCCCCATTCCAGAAAGCGTCCTGCCCCATACCCAGAAGCAAGGAATGCTGCTGAGAGGCAAAGATGAATGCAGACACACCTTGCTGGGTTTTCTCAGTCTACCAGGATTAGATCACATTTTTTGTCCAATCATATTTCTATATGGCTCTCTGTACTTTGTTGAGCCCAAGTACAAAATTGGACAATTTCCCCTGTATCTTTGGGTCATCATTCTGAAGGCTCCCATGTCATGTAAAATTATGATCAAATAAATTTGTATGCCTTTTCTTCTATTCATCTGCCTCTTGTCAGTGTTTTCAGCAATCCTTCATAGAGTGAAGGGATCGTGTATTAGGATTCTCTAAAAGGACAGAACTTTGCAAACCCCCAGCTTTTCTGCGTGGCAGATAGGAAATTGAAAGTACATCTGCTTGGTTGCTGTCCACAACCAATCAGACTGATTGTGGGCCAAGTCTGCCTTTGCACAGAAGTGCAACTTTGTAAATTCACTTTAGCTTCTGATTGGTTGCTTTCCACAACCAATGAGAATACTTTCGTTTTCAAAAAATCCCTACTTTTTTTGCGTCATTCTTTCCTTGCTTTGTGTGTTTTGTCTAATTCTTTGTTCAAAATGCCAAGAACCTGGACACACTCCACCAGTAACAAGAACAATGGAGAAGGTTCAAAATGTCAGATTTTAAACAAAAATTTCGAGGCTATTTATTACCTAGAAAAACAAACAAAAATGTGCAGTTTAAACAAACCCAAAAAGAGACAGAGAATCTATTATTTCAGGTCACTGAGTATGTACTACTCAGTTGTCTCGGGATGTGACAGTAGCTAAGACCCTCTTTCTGACCTAGAGAAAAATCCTTCATTCTTCAAAATAAGGTTTGAAGTCACTTCCTCTAGGTAGGCTTCCATAAACCTAGTCAGATGCTCATTCACAGGACTTTTACAGATAGCTCTTTGATCCTCTCTCCACCATAGAACTTGTATTACACTGCTCTTACATTTGATTCTAATGAGACTATAGGCTTCAAAAGAACTAGGACCACACCTGTCTTTTGAATTCCCAGCCCTGCAACAGGGCTTGGTTTATAGGAACACTGAAAGAATAGCCTTTGGATTTGTTGAATGTAAGTTTTTAAAGTCAGGGACCAGGCTTTACACAGCCCATAATACAAGCTCAGTATTGGAGATGTTTCCAGTATTATGGGTCCTAACTCACCAAGACAGAAGGAAAGACCTCACTTTTCCAAGTTCCCATTCAGCAAGGGCAAGGAAGGAGTAGGAAGCAATACAGGAATTCAGTTTCTGAACGATCATTAAAAGAAGGATGTCCAGGTTGCAGCAGCAGCAGAAATCCTATAATATATTTTTGTTTTTCTTCTCAAATGAGCTAGAAAATTGGTTCTCAAACTGGTGATTTTGTCCTCCACTCCCATCCCACTGATGGCCACAGGAGGCAGCCAAATGCCTAGGAAGATGGGATAGGGGTAGGTACCAGGTGGAACCCCACTTCCAAGCCAAAGACAGTTTAAAGCCTGAAAGCCTAGCTACAAGTTAAATCCTCGGACTGGACTGAGAATTTGTCTTCCCATTTGGCACACTTTCCTCTGACTGAACCCACCCTTCACCTATTTAACATATAGCTACCCTTTCCTAATTGGTTTTCTAAATTGTCATGCCCACCTTTGAGTGGTGTCTTCACTTTAACCTTTTTTGCTTACTCACACACCACTCAGCATGCACTCCCCATTCTGAGTCCATAAAAGGTCCCAGACCCAGATACATGGGGGACTTTCCCGCCTTCTGGTAGGGGGACCACCCGCATGACCCCTCTCCACTGAAAGCTGTTTCAATGCTCAATGAAATTCTTCTCTGACCTCCTCACCCTTCAATGTTCAGTGCATCCTCATTCTTCTTGGGAATAGGACAAGAACTTGGGAACCAGTGTGCAAGCCAGACTTGGCCCAGGTGGGCTGACTGGGCAGGGCGCCCCCTGTGGCAGGTAGAGTGCCCCAAGAGAAGCCTCCTACATCGCTAGCCAGAGGTCCCCAACTGGCAAAGAGACCAAGAAAAATCCTGCATACCACCAAACATCTAGCAAAGTTGGGAGACATTTTGGGCTATCACAACTAGGAGGGTGCTACAGGCATCTACTGAGTAGAGGGCAGGGATTGTGCTAAGCATTCTGCAATGTACACAGCAGCCCCCAACGACATCAACTGTGCTATGCTTGAGAAACCCTCAGCTAGACAACTCTTTGTTGTCTGCAGCTAAAAATGACCAATCTCCTTTCTAAGCTCCAATTTTCCCATTGGAATCATGGCAACAATAATCAACCACTTCTTATATGTTAAGTGGTGAGGCTTAAGATAACAAATGTAAAATTCATAGAGTATAGCCTGGCACATAACTGCTCAATTATTATTAGATATTTGTAGTAATCATTATTATAATAAAAGCCGCATGTCTGCACATAATATGGAGGTATCAGGTACTATGCTAAACATCTTTTAAAAAGCTGATATTATATATGCTCCACCACTCAAAACATGCTTGGTAAAAGAATAAATGTTGACATATGCTTGCTTATTAAATGATTATGTGCATAAGGCAAATATAAAGGACATAAAAGTGTTTATCAGGGCACAATACTAAAAACAATAAATTAAATTCCTTTTATTCCATTAAGAATGCTTTTCTCTAAGAAGTTCCTGATCCTGAGAACCAGGCAATCTTACATGCAAACTCAAAGCTGTTTTATCCCTCTCTTCAGACAAAATACAATCAAACAAGGCGTGGCTGAAACCTATTACTGCTAGCCTGGCAGACCACTGGAGCCAATGCTGCCACTAATTCTGTCCTGCTATATGCAGGAAAGCGAAAGAGACACACGGCACTTCAGAGAAATCAATTTCCTTTATTAGCTTCCTTTCTTTATCGTTTGCTTTCACTGTATGTTTTGTGGATCAAGTTAATCATTTTCATGTAAAGATCAATCTTAATATGGACTTTCATTTGAAAGTTGTTGTCAGATTTTGTGGAGAAGCCAAATTCTAGAGAAGGATGGTGGGGGGTGGTGTGGGGTGGGGTGGGGTATACACCTGACTTTTGTTGTTTCCAGCAGCCCAACCATTCCATGAATTTTTGGTAATAGTATCCCAAAACCTTCTTCCCTAATGTTGGCAACTGTTTAGTTCAGATGTGTCGTAGCCAAAATTGGGCACATTTCCCAATTCAGGCCAATTAGATATTTCTCCCTAAATTCTGAATCTTGACTAAAATAAACAGAAGACTGAAAAGAACTGAAAATTATTTCTTTAAATCGTGGTGTCCTTATAAGACTGTTCAGTAGCACTTGCTATGCATAAACCCCAATCTACTCTGCTTTCTGTCAATTCTCAAGTCTCATTCTCCTATATCCTTTAGTCTATATAGTGAACTACTCAAAGCCTGCCAATAATTTTTTTTTTTTTTTTTTTTTTTTTTTGCTTAAGCTAAATAGAATCTACTTTTGTTTGCTTATAATCAAGGCAATGCTAACTGTTACTGGTAAAAACACTGTAACACACTACTGACAATCATGGATCTGGAGCCAGGATATGATATTTCTGTTTCTCTTTTATTTAGTCATTTATTTAATCCACCTTGTGCTTCGGTTGCTAAGTCTGTGAAGGAAAAAATGTCGGAAAAGCCTACCAATTACAGATGCCTAGTAGGTCCAGAGGGTTGCTATTACAGTTTCTTATTCATCAATTCACCCCAAAAGATAAGTAATTGAATCTTTTTTAATCCCCTGAGATTTATCTAGCTCACCCACTTGTTAAGGAGGATGCATGTAACTTCTGAGTTAAGAAATATAGGCAAGTTTAGATAATATTCAATGGGAATAGGATATGCAAATGTACATACTATATTTTTTAAATTTTATTTATTTTTATTTATTGTTGCCCAAGCTGGAGTGCAGTGGCATGATCTCAGCTCACTGCAACCCCCGCCTCCACAGTTCAAGCGATCCTCCTATCTCGGCCTCCCAAATAGCTGGGATTACAAGTGTGTGCCACCAGGCCTGGCTAAATTTTTTGTATTTTTAGTCGAGACAGGGTTTCACCATGTTGACCAGGCTGGCCTCAAATTCCTGACCTCAAATGATCTGCCCACCTTGGGCTCCCAAAGTGTTGGGATTACAAATGTGAGCCACTGCACCTGACCCAAATGTACATATTTATGTGTAAATAAACACACATAAATTTTTCAAATAGGAGCCCCTACATTTCTCTTCCCTTTGATGAACTGTTGAACCCTAATAAAATGAAGAGTATCACACAACCATTACTGGAACCTGTTAAAGCCACTAACAGAGAAAGTCATATTTCAAGTATCAGTTGCATACTAAACGAAGGCTCTACCAATGACAGCACATGCCTCATTTTAAAGCTATCTGAGAAAATTTTCCTCAAGTCTTTTCAACCAGCACTCACCATGTAACTTTTGAAAACATAGGTCAGTTTATATGTGTGTAACACACAGGCACATTAATTCTATAAACATTCTTTTCAAGGAAGCTGCCTGGACAAGTGCTAGGTTGTAACGGCCCACTGGACTAACCACCCTGCACGTGCTGCCCAGTTTCAACACACTTCCTCAGCCGAGACTTGAGATGCAAATTGAGGGTAAACTCAGCTTCCAGGCATAGACTTGAACATTTAATGCCAACAAAGTCCCATTGTCAGACCCCTCCTGCAACTCCTAATCCACATATGTCTATCCGGCATCCACTAGGACAACTACCTGCGTCCACAACATTAACATGATGTGGACACCCCAGAAGTCCACTAAAACCCAGTGGGGCAAGGAATGACTGTACTAGAAATGTGTGAAAACAATGAGATTTGAGGGTCTTTACTGATCAATGATAGAGGATGAGGAAAAAGAAGAAAGGAAAAAGATCAGTGAATGTCTCAAGAAGACAAAAATAAAGGAGATTAGGAGAGACAATCAGGGAGAGAAAAGAAATGTTGACGGTTAAGAGGAGAAATAATTGACAACAGAAAATGAAGGTCAGTCATCTGGGCCAAGTGTATCATTTACTTATCAACTTGGTATTTCCTAAGATCTAATGTGATAGGAGATACTACAGAAATTAGAATGAAATATGACTTTAATATTGATTAAGTTCTATCCTGGCACTTGCCCTCAAAGGAAAGATCAATTACCATAATCAGGGAATAGACTTTTTTAAAAACAAAAAACAAAAGCCATAATTCCAGTGGCTTTCCTGAGAGAATTTATGAGTATTGCCATAGATTAAAGAATGGATATCCTCCAGCAGATGACAGCAAAAAATTCTGTAGCACAGAGTTTAGGGACTCGAGTCTGGAGTCAGACTCGGGGGCTCAAACGCCAACTTTGCAGCTTAAGAGTTGGGTGACTCCTGCAAGTTCCTTACTATTTATTTGATCCTCAGTCTCCTTCTCAGCAAAACAGGAGAGTACAGATTTCATTGGATTCTTGTAAATACTGAATATGATAGTGTATGTTACAAAAGTAAATCATAAGCCCAAAGTTCTTTTACTTGGCCTTGATTAAAATTATAATTAAAGCATTGGCTATTAGGTTCAGAGCATTTAGGGGTAAACTTCTAAGCAAAGAAACTGTTAACCCAAGCACTACTGAAAACATAAATCCTGGAGTAATCATAACCCTTTGTTTAGAGAGAAGAAAGAAAAGGTCTAAAGACTATTTAAAGTAAAGTGAAATTTGAGACCAATCTGTGGAGTTCGTGTTCTTGTAAAGCTGAATATAGGCATCATTTGGTTTACCAGAGCTGGCAATGATCTATCGCACAAATTGAAAGATTTACTTTAACTGTGAATCTGTAACCTTGGACTCTGGATATTTATAGCTGTAATGAGAAATTACATTTGTTAGAATGTTTGTATTAACTTTTTTCCCCACAGGAACTTGGTTTGCCAACTAACCTTGTAATAACCATAGACTAAGATGTCAGTGATCTAGTTACAGTTTACTCAAGCCATTTGAAAAGCTGAACATTTTCTTGCTGAAAGTAATACATCTAAAGTCATACTTCCCTGAGAGAATAAGTCATTTTGGAGTTAATCAAGAAAGGGACAGATTATCATCAAAATACAATGCAAAAATCTCAATTTTTCACAACAATGCAATTCATTCAGCAAATCTCAATACTCCCATGCTACACGAACCTTCTTTAGATTTTCTCCTGGGTGTATCTTTGAAGGAGCATGAGGAATATTTGCTATGGCTCAAAAACCAGATATGCATTCCATCTGTTTAAAAGCTTATAGGGTATTATAGATGAAGCAAGCTTCTAAATTCAACCTTAAATAATGGGAAAATCGAACAAAAACAACACCCTAACAGATTTATTTTAATAATTCTGGCAAGAAGTACAAATCTAAGGAAACAGAAGCAAAATACAGGATAATTCAGAATACTAAGAACCTGCTATTGTTTAACTGAAAGCATAGGTAAAAGTTACAAAAAGTGATGCCACGTTTTGATGCTGCTTACTGGCTGCATCTAGAGAGAGGCAAGGAGGTATCAGGCATTTCTGCCAAAGCTAGGTGAGGTATTAACCACTGAGAAGATAATAGGAATAGATGAGCAAGTTATCCAGATGGTACAAGATGGCAGGTAATGTATGGATAATTGCAAGCCTCTCCGGAGTTAAGGGTACTAAAGAAAAGAAAGTCTATGTCTAAAGAGGAGAAAAGAAGACAGACAAGCTGGTTACATTGGAGATTTTTATTTATAAGACTGACACAGGTTAATTTCATTCCCATCAAGCAATTATTAATAAATTCTCACAAGGTTTTATCGTGGATAAAAGAATTGTAATACGTGATTTTAAATATTTTAATTGCCAAAAATAAATTTCCAAAGTATTCACAGCATTTTTTTACTTTGAAAAGTAATTAGCATAAGCAAATAACACCTCCTGGGTGACTACTTAACATATATACTGGCTACTATTCATGAAATTGTATTTAAAATGCAGAGTCAAATTTCCATATGTAAGATAAACAGTATATTCTTCATTTCATTTTTAAAAATATAAGAGATTAATTAGCTAAATAATTTCCCTGGAAAACTATTAAGTAGGACAGAGGATTCAAGACCCTAAAATTAATTTTTCAAATGTTAAGAGGTTTATACATCCAAGCTCACTTCCATTCTCATATTGCTTATTTAATGACTTCCTGCAAACACAGACACCACAGCCCAAGATCTTTCTCTTTCCTATATGGAGTAATAAGACAGAGAACTTAAAGTTTTGGTCTTTGCAAAATATGTGTACTTTCTTCTTGACCATTAATTCTTGAGCCCTGAGGCAGATAGAAAAATTGGAGTAGTGTGCCAAATGTCAATGTAAAGGAGACAAATTTGACAGGAGATGGAGAAGCATTAACCCCTTATACCTATATATCTAAAATGGTATGTTATATATGTTAAATACACATAAAGGATTTCTGTCTGCACCATCATAGAACGATCTAAGATTCAAGCACCCAAAATTACATGATACTGATGCCAGTATTCTTTACATATTAGAAAAATCTTGAACTAGTTCTTAAATCTGATGACTTGGGTCTCCCCAGTCTGTTCAATAAGACATTTTGACTCCTATTAAGAAGAAACACTCTTCTTATTTCAACTTGGAAATTAACAAAGAAAACAGCATTCATTGTAGGGAAAAATGGCACATTATTTTTTATAACCTCCTCTTACTTGAGTAGAAAAATAATCCACTTAATGTGTCTAGAAGGGCAGTAACCCTACATTAGGGGAGAACAGACTCCCAGGGAAAAAGCCATTTACAAAACATTGAGGAACTGCCAAACGTTGTAGGGTTCATACAGCCACAGCTAATTACTATGTATATTGTATTTCTGGACCTACTGGCAATATATTGGCTGATCTTTCTGGATTGTGTCTTCTCAGCTGAACGTTGTTTATTTCCCACATCATGCAAATGACAGGGAGGATGTTGGTCTATTTTGTGATTGGCAGGGTAAAAACTTAAAATTGTGTTTTAGATTAGGTCACAAAAAAGTGTGCCAGATGGTTGTTAACAAAAAAGAAAATGCTTTCAACAAACCTCACATGTTGTATAATCTTGGACAAAATACAAAAGATGTAAATGTCCTGCCACAAATATATTGGAGCTGGATCCACCTGACAATGCTGAAATATCTAGTAGAAACAATTCCCAAAGAGGTATGAATCTGACTTTTCTCTCTAGAAAAACTGCTGGATGACTTCTTAGAAAAGTTAAGTCAGAACCCATGTTTTTTTAAAAAATCATTTTTCAGTGGTACCTTTGTATTTATTGTCTACTCTAGTATTTTCTCTTGCCTGGGGTGGGGGGAAACATTTTTTCACCTGTATTATCTTCAGAGAAGATAATACACCTGCAGTGTTTTAGCTTGGAAAGTTTTAAAAAGTAAACAGGACATGGTGGCACATACCTGTAGTCTCAACTACTTAGGAAGCTGAAGCATGAGGATGGCTTGAGCCTAGGAGTTTCAGTCTAGCGTGGGCAACATAGTGAGACTCCCATCTCTAAAGGTAAGTAGATACATAGGTAAATAAAACAAAGGCAGTATATTTTCATTTCCTTAATAAAAATCTTGAGGAAGGTGGGGGAAAAGGCATGTACTAGCTTGCGTTCCTCATAGTCCATTAGCAGATAATTTTCTCAATAGTGTATGAGGACAAAAATAAATAAATAAGACCAGTTTCACATTTAGGTCCCTAGAGATTCACAATCATCATCTCCCTTCTGTCTGCCAGGATTTAAATTTTATTTTTAATGTGGCCTCTCTTACGCATTTCCCTCTCTCTGCAGATTTCCTAGTCTCTCCCAAGATAACTGGAATTGTACTCAGTATTAGTCAAGTGAGAGTGCCATTTATTGACCACCGAAGAAAAGCCAGGTACTCTGCAGATCTCACTTCATTCCTCATAGCCATACCAGGAGGTAGCCCATTTGCAGATGGGCAAACTGTAACTCAAGGTTTCTCACCTAGGAAGGGACTGAGCAGAGTCTCAAACTGATATGGTTTGGCTCTGTGTCCCCACCTAAATCTCATTTTGAATTGTAATTTCCCCATGTGGAGGGAGAGACCTGTAATCCCCATGTGTCAAAGGAGGGAAGTAATTGGATTATGGGGGTGGGTTTCCCCCATGCTGCTCTTGTGATCATAAGTAAGTTATCAGGAGATCTGGTGGTTTTATAAGTGGTAGTTTTTCCTGTTTGCACATGCTTTCTCTCACCTGCCACCATGTAAGATGTGCCTGCTTCCCCTTCCACCATGATTGTAAGTTCCCTGAGGCCTCCCCAGCCATGCAGAACTGTGAGTCAATTAAGCCCTTTTTCTTTACAGATTACACAGTCTCGGGCAGTTCTTCATAGCAGTGTGAAAATGGACTAACACACAAACCTAGATCTAACTCTCAGACATGTTGTTGATGTTGACAGAAGGTAAAAGAGTCCATACCAAATGAACATTCTTTTAGCTACATACAGCAATTAATTTTCACCAGCCCTTGAGAAAAGATTTGAAGCACTAGTCAGAAGGAAAATTTATTAAATAGAAGGGAAAGACATCAAAGAGTTAATAAATTCAGAAACTGTACAACTGAGCCAGGTGTTGAACAGAGGACTAGACATGGAGTTAGGGTGAGTAAGAGGGAGAGAGAGAGGGAGAGAAACACTAAGAAAAGAAAGGCAGAGAACCATGCAACGACTTCCCTGATTTTAACAATGAAAGTAGCTCAGAACATAGGAGTTACTTGGCCAATAGAGTTAAAGGTCTTACTTAAGAAGTACCATGCAAATTCCATTTCTGGTTGCCAGACCCTGATATACCACATGTTCATTTCTCAATAAGTGCATGTTAGGTAAATTGACCACTGTCTCTTCTGAAATGGAAATGTCTATAGTGGTAAAGGCATTGCCATTGGATTTGAAAGCTGCAAAGCAAGTTGACTGCAGGGAACTCTGTGTGTGTGTGTGTGTGTGTGTATGTGTATGTGGCTTGTAAATTATTCTTTTAAACTGCTTACAAATTAGCTGTGAAACTGGTAGTATGTAGTTGTCCATGTCAATAACAAAAAAGCAAACACACAAAAAATGCAGATCAGAAGAAACATAACCTCAGTCACTTCATATTAACAGACCATTCACTCATCCATTTGTTTAAATATTTATTTAATAACTACCACATGCTACGCACTGTGCTACATGTTAGGGGATATATTGGTGAATAAAATAGTTATGGTTTTAGCAATTACAAAGCTTACAATCTAGTCAGAAAAACAGACAAAATTCAAGTACAACAGAAATAACTATGTAACTACAAATTGTGATAGAATATGAAGGAAATAAATGAGGCACAATGATAAAGACTGGAATGATAGGCGGGTGGATGACAGAGAAATGCATTTACATACAGTGGTTAGGAAACGCCTTTATGAATCCAAATTCTAGGATCTAGATGGAGCTCTAACTTAAACATATATTGGAATCACATGGAGGGCTTGTTAAACTAGATTGCTGAGCCCCACCCACCAAAGTGTCTGATTCAGTAGTTCTGGAGTCAGGCAGATAACTTGCATTTCTAGTAAGTTCCCAGGTGATGCTGATGTCACCGAACTAGGAAGCACACTTTGCAGAATTACCGGACTAGAGCATAGTGCAGGAGACAGAAAGGGGCCTGAGCTGAGGTTGGAAGAGTAGGCAGGGAAGCTCTAGATACCCTGACACATGCTCAGTGACAATATCAGTGCCAAATTCAGAACCTGTCTAGGACTTGGAGTGAGTCTAATGATCAAGACAACTATGACCACTACTGTTATCTTTGCCAAAGGAAGGACCTCTATTACTCCCTCTTCTAAGCTAAGAACCTGAAAGCAAATTTATCAAGGAATACAAAGAACCAACTCTAAAATCAAACAATATTTTTTACAAAGCATTGCTATATTAACACAGTATCTACCATCCAAAGAACCTGATGTTATCAGAGCATATTTAATAGAGAAGATAAAAGAGATCAAAAGGTGGCATCTGCCTTCAAACATAGAGCGTTCTGAGGATTACGGCAAGGAAGGCATTTCTGTTAATAGTAGAAGATGTGAGCATGCAATTATTGTAAGAATGATCTAAATTATAAGTAAAGAAGATACCCTTGACCTCATCTGGTTTGAAACATTTAACTGGCTTCCAAAGGAAGATAATCTTTATTAGTATTTGAAAAGTTAGATAGAAAGCTACCAGAATTTTGATAGTTTCGTAGCTCTCAACTTTAGTCTTCCCCCAAATCATTTGGGAGCTTGTTAATGGTGTAGATTACCAGAGCCATCCTCAGAGTTTCTGATGGAATCAGATGAAGTGAGGCCCGGGAATGTGCACTTTAATAGGCATCCTCAGGCATTCTGATGCTGGTAGATTAAGGACCACAGTTTGAGAAATACCTAGTTAAGGCATGGTACCCTGTAAATGGCAAAACCCAGATGGATAATCTCTTATGGATTTTGATAGAGATAATTGAAGTTTTACTATGTGCCAGGTACTGCTGGGCACTTCTTAAAAGTACTCCCTTTAGTTTTTAACAATTTAAAAAAATAATACTCAAGTGATGAGAAAATGGGATTCAGCAAAGCAACTTGTCTGTAGTTGATCATGTACCAAATAATTTATAGAGCCAGAATGTAAACTGAGGGTTTCTGACTCCAATAATACATTTATTTCAATGATACTGAGCTCATGATTGCTAACCTTTGTGAAGCTACGACAATCATTAAACGATTTCCTGGCAACCACAGCTTCTCCTAAAAGCATTATGTGATTTGGCCTTTTAAAATAAAGAGAAACAGAGTGTAATCATATCTTGAGACTCTGAAAAATCCTTAGATGTCTAAAAATATTCACAGGTGCTGGACAACCAAGTATATGAATCAATAAGAGAATCCCTAACTTAAAGTCTTGTCCACTGATATTACACTGGACATATCTATCCAACATCAAGCTCAGAGACAGAATGTTTAGCAGTGAAGGGTAGAAACTGAAGACAAACGCCTGAGTTAAAAAAAAAAAAAAAAGTCTCTATCATGGATTAGCTATGTGAAAGTGGGTAAATGATTTGATTTCTCTGAGCCTCACTTTCCTCATCTATAAAATAATAATAATTACTTTGGGATTTTTATATAAGATATTATTATATAATACTATTATATATTATTATTACATACAATATAATTATATATAACATATTAATTCCATTAATTATAATTATAGTGTAAAATATATTATATATAATAGCTTACATATTTTTGAATCATTTGGCATAGTACCTACCACACAGTTGTTCAATACATGTTATCTTAATTCTTATTAAATTATTACTTTTAAGAGGCATGTGATGCAGTTAATAAAATAGTGGAAAAAACATAAAGGCCCAATAAACATAACAAGATGGCCAATCTAATCAGAATTTTGAAAAGGCAAATAATTAAATAAATAAATCAGCAAAATATCACAAAATTCCCCATAAGATCATAAAAAAGTCAATATTCATAGGATAAAAATATTGGTGAAGAAGAGGAGAAATAGGTATTCTCTCTCATAAACCATAAATTGATACAACCAATAAAAGGGCATTTGACAGTTTGTTAAAAAAATTGTTTTAAATGCTGTGATACAGAAATCCTATTTTTTCCTATTGATTCTACACTCAGTAGAACAGATTTCGGTAACCTTTTCCTGTAAAGGGACAAAGAGTAAATATTTTAGAGTTTGTGAAACTTTTTACAGTCTGTCATGATAACTCAAGTCTACCACAATTGTGTGAAAGCAGTCCCAGACAATGCATACATGAATTAGCTTGGCTGTGTTTTAATAAAATTTTATTTATGGACACTGAAAGTTGAATTTTATCTAATTTTCTGGTGTCAAATATTCATATCGTGATTTTTTTTCAACCACTTAAAAATGTAAAAACATTTCTTAGCTTGCAGGCTGTAACAAAACAGCAGCAGGCATGATTTGGCTTAGCAGCTAGCTGTAGTTATTAACTGCTACCTTAGAGTGATACCTACTCATGTGCACAAGGAGGCATGGACAAAGACATTTACTGTAGCGTTAAAAATCTGAGAACAGGCCGGGTGCGGCAGCTGATGCCTGTAATCCCAGCACTTTGGGAGGCCGAGGCGGGAGGATCACGAGGTCAGGAGAGCGAGACCATCCTGGCTAACATGGTAAAACCCCGTCTCTACTAAAAAAATACAAAAAAATTAGCCGGGCGTGGTGGCAGGCGCCTGTAGTCCCAGCTACTCGGGAGGCTGAGGCAGGAGAATGGCATGAACCTGGGAGGCGGAGCTTGCAGTGAGCCGAGATCGCACCACTGCACTCCAGCCTGGTCGACAGAGGGAGACTCCATCTCAGAAAGAAAAAAAAAAAAAAAAATTTGAGAACAACTATTAGATCATCAATAGAGAAATGGCTAAAAAAGTGTGGCTACATCCATAATCTGGAATATTATGTTATTCTATGCTAATACTATGTTAGCAAAAAGAATAATTTATCACATACAATTGTAAGAGATACTCAAGAAACTTCATGGTGAAAAAGCAAGTTGCAACTGTTCAGTAAAAATGCAAGCTATGCTCGGACTTAGAGGTTTTAGTACTTGCACCATTATGGCAGTGAAAAAATTCGTTAGAGAATGAGGTCGGTCACTTTTGGTTCATCATTCTGTGATCACAGAACACAGTGGGTCCATTTGCTGAGACGGAGCCATTTGCTGTTCATAAATGTTTGGATTTGTCTTTCAACAACTAGCTGACAAAGGCATAGGCTTAAATGAGAAAAGAGGCAAAGAAAATATAATAGAAAAACTCAAAGAACACATAATTAAAAGCACTTGGGGGACTCCTGAACAGATTCCTACTGTGTTTTTATACTGAATGTCATCATTCTCAATGATCAGGAGGCAGATGACAGCATCAAGACAATATGGTGTCAAGTCACATTTCAGAATGTTCCCGGGGCTCTGATCAGCATTAGCCTGACTAACCAGATCAGAGAAGAAAGTGGTCACAGCAAATACCCTGTCTCAGTTCATTACTCAACACCTGTTAACTGTGATTAACGGCCCTGGCTAATTATGTGTTAAGAGCATCTCAGGCTGTAATGGATCCCAGAGGTCTGCAAACTTGACTTCATTTACATGTTTGTCTCCTTTCAGAAGGTCTCAGCCAAACATGGCCGAAATCTCCCGAGCATTTTATGAACTCCCATGTCATCAACTCAGAGTTTCAAATACACCAGGGTCTTCCTAGAAAGGACAACGAATGTCTGAGATGTACATTTGTTTCACAGATAAAGCAGGCAAGGTTTAGATTTTATGGCACATAAATGGGCCTCTTGTTGCAATTAATATTATAAAAGGCTGCTAATCTGTGTGCATTAAACTAATTGTTACATTTTGTGATCTCGGCTAAAAGACTAAACTGTATTTAGATGGCAGAATGCACTAAAACCTCGCTTTATGTCTCAAACTAAAACTGCAAAAGTCAGAAATCAAAAAGGCTTCAGAGAAGCTTTTTGTCTACTCATTTTTAGTTTTAAAAATATGTATTAACATTAATTTTACATAATTATGTCATGCTATATTCATACATTAAATATTAATACATATACAAACCTATATATATGTATCTGAATGTGTGTATATATATATATATATATATATATATATATATATATATATATATATATACGTGTATACACACACACCACAGACGATTAGACAGCCCTTACCAAGGTATTTTTCTTGCTTTTCTTAAATGGTATTGAACCTAACTCTTCCTACAGTTAACTGAAAGTCAACTAATTAACATCCCTCCCAACTTTTTTTTTTTTTTTTTTTTTTAGTAGAGGAGCAGAGCTGGCAGCAGACATTAAATCCTTCTTCATTCTTATTTGCTTAGTCTAGCAAAGTAATGAGAAAAAAGTAAATCCACTAACAATTGTGTGTGATGGAATATTATGCAACATCTAGTATTCATGCTACTGCACTCCAGCATGGGGAACAAAGTGAGACTGTCAAAAAAAAATATATTGAATGTCTACATGTACTGATATGGAAAGACATCTATGACATATGAAGTGGAAAAAATCAAGCTGCTGAACATTAGATAGCATATTATGATGCAAATAAATGTGCTATAATAGCCCAACTCCACATATGTGCATCTTTAGATTCCTGTATACACAAGAAAGGATCTGAAAACATATAGAATTACAAGGTCTTACAAGCAATCTGGTTCTGCCTTTTTTAGCCCGAATGGGAAGTACCTATCCCAAATGACCTTCATCATCTTCACAACTAGAAAGAGATTTTCATGGTCCCTTCTACCCAGTAACAGCAGAGCACAGTGGTTTGGAACATGTGCCGTGCAGTCAGGCAAGTGTGCCTCAAATCATATCTACCACTTACTGGCCAAGTCATCTTAGACAAGTTACTACATTTTCCAGTACTTCTGCTGTTTTCTCATTTGCACAACAGTGCCCGTCTCATAAAGTTTCGTGAGGGTTGTGATTTAATAGCCGTATAGCACATGCCTTAGCAAGTGTCGTCAACACTCACCTCTCTATCATTCTTAGCTAGTACTTTCTTCATCTTGCCTCAGTTATTATTTGAAATGTGCTTGTTTCCTTAGTCATTACATTTTCTAATTTGCCAAATGTTAAACAAGGGCAAGAGTTGGCACTTTCTGTGTCTCTCTGCTTCCTCCCACCACCACTGTAAGCCCCAAATAAAATAATTGTTTTTTACATTTCTGAAAGCTTTTCACTCTGTTACAAATCAAGGGGCTCCAACATGCCCTTGTTTCTAACAATTCTCAATGCAGTTTAATGCTAGGGGTGAGGTGGGCTCATTGACTTTTGCTCTTGGCTGACATTTCCATTAGCACATGTGTGGTGTGTATTTTCCTCCAGTATTCTTTTTGCTAAGAGTTCCGTCTTTCTCTAATTTCTTACTTTTAATTGTCTTTTCTTATTGATCTATAAGTTGCTGTCACTTTGATGAAACCTAAGGGCTTCAAGCACATCTCTGCTATTTACTAGCTGGAATCTTTAAAAAGGTATCAATTAGGTTCAGTTTCTTAATGGGTAAAATGGGCATAATATCATCTATACTTTTTCTTCGTTTTGAAATAAATTTGGCTTTTACCACTTAGAGAATTCATGTCAATTTTAGAAAAACAAAGACCAAAAAATGAAATAAACAAAGATAAAACCATTCATAATCCCACTACAGATGTCAAAAGTCTATTCTACATCCTTCTAGTCCTTATAAATGTACATAACTAAAGGTTCTGGGTCAAGGGGTCTAGACAATTCTGAATCTTGCTTTATTTCTTATTCTCTCTTCCCAGACCACTCAAAATGTTAAGTCTGATGTGTTTTAATTGAATACCTTTCATTGTGCGTAAATATACACCTAAAATCACAAATATAAAGGCTTTTTTACTGAAGGCCATCATGCTTTGCATATTTCCTGTAACTTGCTTTGCTAACTTTACAATATATCATGTGCAATCATCCATAGCAGATATACATTCTAATTCTTAATGACCTAATAATCATCCATAGCATGTATAACACAGTTCATTCAACTAGTCTCAAGTGATCAAAATTCTTTGTTTTCATTTTTTTGCCACTGTGAACAATGCTGCAATAAATAATTTTGTATATATATTTTTATCTATACAGAATAATTCACAAAGAGATTACTGTGTTAAAGGCTATGTGTATTTTTTTTATTTAAAATGATACAGCCAAACTGCTAAGCAATATATATAGCTCCTAGCATTTCTCCACATTCTAACAGCATTGGATGTCATATATTATTAAGTTGTGCCTACATCCCAGGGGAAAAAAATCTATCTTATTTTACTTAGCAATTCTCTGAGATTAACTTTTCCTTTTTACTGGCTATTTCTCTCTGGCAAACTGCTCATTCATAATCATTGCCCAGTTTTCATGTGGTTCACTTTCAAAAAACTTGCATGGAGTGTCTTGGTATTTAAATGGTTTAAGTATTGGTTTGTCATGTGTGTTATAAATGCTGCTTCACCTAGCTCAGTGTTTGCATTTGCTTACTGTCCAACACACATAATGAAAGTCTGTTTAGGAAAATACATGCTTTCATACATCTTTGTTTCTGGCTTGCCTTCCATCTCTCCACCCCACATCGTATTACCATCATTTCTCTTCCTGGCCTCTCTTGCTTTCAAATTCTAACTTTCTCGTCTTTATCTCCTCCTCACCAGTTATCACAATTACCTCTGTAAAGAACTAAGATTTCTCCCACTACTTTTTTTTTTTTTTTTTCTAAAGAGAGAATAAAGCTTTGGCCGAAGACAGTTTTGATGAGATGGCTAGAAAAACTGCTTTTCTTCATTGGCATTTTGGAAATATTGCTCAGTGGTTTGGGACCCATTTATTTCTACTGCCTCTATCCATCTTTGCTTTATGGCTTGACTTCTGCTGCTTTAACTCCACATTCTGTTTTGCTCCACTTCAACTGTTTAGCTGCCAGGTTTGGTCTGGTTTCACTGATTTACTGTATCTAATCTCATTCCCTCCCTGGATTCTGAACCCCATCCTAGAAAAGGCACTTCCAGCTCACAGACTCGCATGTTTATCGATTGAAATTTAGTTCAATCGATAAACATTTTAGCATACTTGGGTTCAATTCCAATAGCACAGATGTTTTCAGATCATTTCAGATGGTGAGACCCAGAAATTTTAATTATTTTTCCAAACACTGCTAAAAACTGACATTAAATTTCATCCATGAACTGAAAACATTTTTACTAGGAGAAAATCATGATGCTGATATATGCAATTATGCTATAAAGTATTATTTTATTTTGTTAGGTATTCCATTTAATACTATAGAAGTATTATGATATTTATTACATAAAGCATTATTATAATAAAATCTCAGTACCACCCAGAAAAATTAAAGGTTTGACCTTAACTTTCTCCAATTTTTCCCTATTAATATCAATTTGCTTTTCTTGTTAAGAAAATATTAAGGTGGAAAACTTGAAACAGGACATTCTGTTCTATTATTTTTATGTTGAGAATTGGGAAAATACAGCTTTTGTTGTATAGAATGTGGTATGTATGTGATGAGTATGGAAAATGCATACTTCCAACGGAAGCAGAGAGACTTGTTCAGGGGCCATTGCAAAACTCCACTGGCAAGGCGCTATCAGCCTGCAGCAAGGTTGTAGAGGCAAAGGTAAAAGATTAGAGATTGATTTTTAGAGGGTGAGCTAAAAGGACATATTGGAGAGCTCTTAGGCAGTGTGAGGGCATATTCTGACATCTTAAATGCCTCTGCATTTTAAAATTTCTGACCAGCTGTCAATTTTGTCCATCAAAATCTCAGCCTGGTTATCCTTGCTTATAAGCAGCAGATTTTTTGAGTGCCCCCATATGACTCCAGGTTTCAAATGTTTGCTTTATCGTATGTCCCAAAGTCCAAATACTGGAGAGTCATATGGAAATATTCCAAAGATTTGCACACAGAAGTGTGACACATAAGGTGAGAACAGCCAATAAAGCTGTTAGGTATAAGCAGTTGTGCAAAAGAATCAGTTGTATAGCCAGCCCTGCAATGCTTGGAATCAAGCAGCATGGACACAAAGTGTCTATGTGTACCCAAACAGGGCATAGACTTCAATGCTTTTTCCTTTCATGACTAGTCTAAGGTTTTTGAAGCTCTTCTCATACCTTATCACATTTTACATACCTAAAAAGAATCAATATTTTCTTGTTCTTTACAACATTCTTTTTTGTTGTTGTTATTGCTATTGTTGAAGGACAATCAATTCTGATTTACATAAACTCAAGGGTAACTTAAAAAGACAGTTGCAGTAACTAAGATTGAAGCTGGCATGCCTTTCCCGAGTGAGGTGTTAGACATAAAAATGGCTTTCATTTCGTAATGGAGAAAAAAGACTTAAGTCTCTGGGACACACCACTCTTCTCCCCTAATCTCTTCCACAAATAGCAGCCTGGGTGATCTTTTTGTAATGAAAATTCTATCACAAACTCCAAATATTAAAACTTTCTCATGGCTTTCCATCATCTTAAGAATGAGATCCAAATTCTTCAACCTAGTTTAAATGGTTCTATGCCAGGGCTCTCCAACTCTGGTAGACCCAACCCTCCTTAATACAAATATTTTGTATTACCCTCTTCACTCTCCTGAGATGAAATCTACTCTTAAGATACTCTACCTACACTTGTATTTTTAAAAATGTTATAATATCTTAACTTTAATACTAAAAAGAAATATTAGAATGGGACAGAATATGGTTATAGAAGTTCTCATTCCCCTAGACATACCCAACGGAACAGGCAGCCTCAATTGCCACCAGCAGCCTCTCATGGCAAAGCGAGGGACCAGCCTCAAGTGAATTAAGCACTATAGATGGTAGAGTAGAGAGACAGAATTCAGGTCCTTGAGTAGAGTAGAGTATAGATGGTAGAGTAGAGAGACAAAGAGAATTCAGATTTCACTGCACTGGTGAATCAACCAACCCTGAAGCCCACATTACATTCAGACTTTTTAATGATCCAAAACAAATTCCTTTCACAGTTGAACTTTCTACAATGGGTTTTCTGAGTATGACATAAAACATTATAACCAACATACCCAGTCAAAAACAGAGCGTGAGAAACAGTGCTTTCTCAACAGCTTGTCTAAAGCATGCTTATATAATTATCAGGAGAATATGTGAAAATTAGTGAGGTTTTTTTCTGATTGATATGAATGAGATATCTTAGACTTCATAGAGATGATGTGTTTAAAGAACAGCCTAAACTAAATGTTTAGTAATGTTTCCCCTAATAATTCTTAAAGTTTAAGAATGACATTTTCTAATTTCTTATGTATTAAGGTCTAACATACTTCTCAGGCATTTAAGGCAATGGCGCAATAATATTCAAAAATTGTTAAAGCTACTCACCCCAACTCCTTCTACCAGTCCTGGTGCAGCTAAGTAATGCAGCTGACCATTAGCACACCTGAAACTACCACACTAATGTGGCTTTTCAGGGCAGGATGAGGAAATACAGTGCCCCTAGCTAACTTCTTGCAGCAAATATTTGTTTCAATTTTTTAAGTGTAGTTTTCCTAATACCATAACAAAATCATTTCCCCCACCTTTTCTCTTCATTCTTTCCCAAAAGTAATACAGCTACTAAAACACTGATAGTATAACAATTTATGTTGTACTTCTTTCTGCTTTTATCCTAGATTATAATTGTACTACAGTAACTATAGTGATAAAGGTAAACACTTACATGGAACCATTTGTGTAGCAGGTCTTTATTCCAAGCACTTTGAAAACATTAACTCCTTTAACCCTATAATATCCCTACAATGGTGATTACTACTTTTATTTTACTGATGAGAACACTGATTTTACTGATGAGAACGCTGAAGTTCAGAGAGGTTAAATCACTTGGCCCAAAGTTACACAGCTGTAAGCCAAGGTTTGAACAGAAGGTCAGTGCTCTTAGCCACTAGACTACCCTGCGTCTCAATACAGAGAGCAGTCTGGGGAAAATACTGGCTAATATCGGAGAACATGTTTTGAGATTATTAGAAAATGAACTCACATACATCTCAAAGCTCTTAGATACAGGGAGATAAAGACTGCTTTTCAAAGAGAAACAAAAGTAAACAAAATGTATTTCTTGAAGAGCTTACAAAGCTAAAGTCAGAAATGCATCTCCACTCTGTCCTGTCTGGTCATCTTTAAACTTCTACATCCTAAAGCTTTGGTTTCCAATCAGTCACAATCTCTTGTGCTCTGATGCACTCCACACACTCACTCACACATGCATTGTGCATTTCACACCCACACACACACAAACATGCCCAAAATACATGGAAGAAAGATAAAATTAGCTGTCTTCTCTTTGTTGTTGATCAAATGTAGCTGAAGAGTCAGCAGGGGATAAATATCTTGATGCTTACCTCAGGTACAAGTGCTTTGAAGAAGAACATAGAAGAGCAACTTTTAATGTAGCATTGTGAAAAGAAAAAAAAATGCTATAAAATCCAACCCCCATTGTGGGGTGTCATTTCTAACAATGAGGTTTGTTTTCTTTATCTGTAGTGCATATAGATGATCAAACAAAAATAACTGATCCACAGGCTCTGAAGTTTTTATCAGTAGTCACCTTCTGCATGGATTAATAAATCAAAAAGGGATTTTAATCCTATCTTCCCTTTAACATTATGGCACATACTTTTGCAATAAGCGTGGGGCAAATTGGGAGCCTTTCTGAGACACAGGTAGGCAAGTAAAAACCACATTAGCTGAACGTGCCTTCCTAGGTGGTAGAAACACATGGATCAAGGGAGGATGGTTGCAACACATCCCTATCAGGAACCCACTGCAACTATCTGAAGCACCCTCCTACAGGAGGGGATGGGAAATGTCATCCTGCAGTGGAAGTGAATACAGGGCTGACTATTCAGATGGAAATGGCCACTTGGCTCAATTATGAACTGTGGTTGGCACTAATAGAGAAGCAATGATTTTGTTTAATTCTTTACAAAGACAAAAATTAAAAACCAGAAGGAGATAAAGCCAAGACCACTGCCAAAGATGATCTTTCTCTCCAATGTTCAGTAAATTCTACTCAACTCCATGATTCTCTCCCACCCTGGGCCTCCATCATTCAAATGTGAAATCATTACCTGGATGGTGAAGTAATCTGTACACTAAACCCTTATGATACACAATTTAACTATATAGCCAACCTGCACATGTACCCCTGAACCTAGCAGTTAAAAAAAGAAAATGAAGATTTTAACACAACCCAAAGGGCCAACAGGGAAGCATCCCTTTTTTCCTTATAGAAAATAGTTCTCAGAACTATGATGTATTCATCCACTTTTTAAAAGTGAAAAATTTTATAAAGCAAGAAACTCCTCAAAAAGGTCACAGATTTATCATGATGTTAAAAGTCATAAAAATTATAGTTACAGGCTAAGTAGTTAAATCAGAATTACACACCACCCAATTAATTTTATAATCAATAGAGATTAAAGGAAATGAGGAAGTAAAGTAAATGATAGGATCCCAGCTTAAATCAAATCAATATATATTTATTGATAGCCATCCCATATAAGATGCCATGAAGAAGGAAAAGTGTTATGGAAATATGTCCTTGTCTCTGAGCAGCTCACCACCTGGCTGGGGAATTGATATGTAATATGCAGAGAATTTATGTGCACAGCAATAACAATACAAGGGGTGTCACAAGGCCTCACACAAGTCATGACCAACAGAACCATGTAGAAAAGAGCATTTGTATTAATGCAATGGTCAAGAGCCTGGGCTCCAGAGCCAGACTTCCTGGATTTGAATCTCAACTCTACCACTTATAAGCTCATTGACCTTGGACTAGTTATGAGTCTTTCAGCAGGAATAAAATAGAACCTGACTCACATGATGATTGTAAAAATTAAGTGAGTGAATACTTGCCAAGTGCTTGCAAATAAGGCCTGGCATACAATAATTGCCATGGAAGTATTAAATGGGCAAAATACAATTGAAAGAAGAGAAAGATCTCCATTGCTCTAAAGTCTCCCAAAGTCCTAGGACGGTTTAAGCAGTGACGGATGATATCATGTTCATTTTCCCCTTCCCACGAATTCCCTCCCTACTGCTACAAACATTCTTAGGTCTAGACCATACTAAAGATTAAAAATGATAAATAGTCTCTACTTTGTAAACTCCCTGTAAAAAATGTTAGACTCTTCTACATATGCATCTATTTATCACTGCTCACATTCATTCATTCCCTTATAGCTCAAAACCTGACTCCAACCCCTACCATTCTACAGAAAGCACTACAAAAACCCTAAAATCTAAATCCAACTCCCATTTCTCCTTAGTCAACACCCTCTCTAGAACATTACAAATTATTCACCGTTTGATCATCACAATTTTCTACTTCCTAGGCTCTGTCATTGCCATCAGAATTTTGGCTTCGAGAAGTAAGGACTGCTCTTCCTCATACCTACATCTCTTGGCATGCAGTAGCATGTTCAATTAAATTGCTTTACTAGACAGTGCTCTCTACGACTTTTGGTCAGCAGACTTCTGAGATGTCCCTCAAGATTCTTGCCTCTGGTATATGTAACCCATATAATTCCTCCCTCTTAAGTATGGGCAACACTTGGGTAAGACGGAGTACACTTCTGTGACTAGGTTATGTTATACAACAAAGGTAAGGGGATTTCTCGGATGTAATTAGGATGCCAAAATCAATTGACTTTGAGTTAATCAAAAGGGAAATTATCTTGGGTGGGCCTGACCTATTCAGGTGAGCCATTTTAAGGGGCTGAGGCTTTTTTTTCTTCCTAAAGGAAGAAATAATTCAAAGCCTAAAAGAAATTCTACTGCTGGCCATGAAGGAGAAAGCTCTCAAGTTGTGAGAGGGCTTCAAGAGATAGCCATGTGGCGGAGACCTGAGAGCAGCTTCTAGGAGCTGAGAATGAACGCTGCGCAGTAGCCGAAAGATAATGGGTGCCCCAGTCCTACAATCACAAGGAAACAGATTCTGCCAACAGGAGACAGCTCGGAACTGGGTATTTCCCTAGTCAAGCAAGCCTCCAGATAAGAGCACAGTCAACTGACACCTTGATTTCAGCCTTCCAGGACCTTTAGCTGAGGACCCCAGCTAAAATATGCCATGTTCCAGCCTAAATATTCCAGCCCATGAAAATGGTGAGACAATAAATTTCTGTGGCTTTAAGCCACTACATTTGTGGTAATGTATTACACAGCAATAGCAATCTCCCGTACCCTCTGCCTTCCCTCTGTCTTTTCCTCTGGCTGTTTTTTCTTGATCCAACACCTAAATGTGGGTTAATTTTTCCTGGAATTTCTTCTTTCTCAACACTCTCCAAAGTGATTATGCCTAATTGAGTTACTTTAATAACCATCTATATGTGATTATTGCTAGATTTTTAGACTGCTCTTCTCTCTTAAGTCATGTCCTATTTTTCCTACTGCCTGCTGGTCAATTCCATGTGGGCACTACCAAACTCCTCATTTGATATCTCCCAAATCTACCTTATTATTGCCCCATCTACCTCTTGCTCAATATCTCTCCCTCCTAGCTGGGCCAGTCCTGTTAATGTCTTCTCCATCCTCCCAATCATTTAGTTTGTAAACATCACTAGGACATTCTTCCTCTCCTGTTTCCATTAGAACCAATAATTGGCCAACTCCTGTTTTAACAAGTTTATATTCAAGGCTTCTTTTCTATTCCCAATAGGTACTAGGTTGGCCTTTTTCTTCCTAATTTATTAAAACCTTAGTTCAAAATCTCTAAGTATTTACAAGTAGGTCTTCCAAAGTTAATGAAATTGGCACAACCCCAAGAGGGCTCTCAAAGTCCAATACATGTAAGTTTCCAATCTCAGCTCTGCCACTTAATTGCAATGACCTAATCATATTTTTAATATCTTTGGGTCTCAGTTTCCTCATTCAATTATTGGAGAAGGTAACATCTATCTCACAGGGCTATTGTATTACATGTAAAGGAATCCAATCAATGATAACTGTTCGAATTATTACCTGGAATCGTGGCAATAGGACCCATTTCCCTGTCAATCGGACTTGAAAGCTTAACAAGGCCTTCAATTCTTCTTCCTATATCCCTTTACTGAACCATCAGGGTAAACTGAATCAATGTCCTACTTGGTAGCTTCATCAGAGCACGTTTTGAGTCTGCATCCAGATTGTTAACTCTTGGAAAACATTAGCAATATTGCTTGTTTATCCTTCTTTCTGTGAACACTGACTACCACATTCAGCAATAAACATTGATAAAGAAACTGAAGAGTTGTTAAAATGGAAACTTGACAGCATAAAGGAAAAAGGACAAAGAAGCAAGTGACAGGGGTAAATGCAATTGGTAGGCTGCATCTTAGCTAAACTCAAAGTGAAGCAATGATGCCCCAGCAGGCTAAGGTTACTCTTAATGAGAAAGTCCCTTGGGACATAAATGTCATCACTGAGATCTGATCTTCTTCTAGGACAGTTAGAATTTTCTTACGGGAGAGAGGCAGATACTAGTGTTGTTCACCTCATCACATGCAACCCAAAGAAAATACCCAATATGAATGGGATTCTTTTGAACAAAGGGAAAGAATAAAAATAATTGGATATGCTTGACAACTTTCAGTTACTCTGCTTGGCCTTAAGGTGTTAAGAGTTGAAAATCTAGCTTTTACCTAGTGCAGCTGAAAATCTCTCTATATAATGCAAAACTTCAAACCACCTTACCAAAGAGAGGACAGCACTGAGACCTAGTTATCTCTTAGGAAACTTCGCAGGCTATTACTTTGAGTACAAAACAATGACACAACTTTATTTCCTGCCAAACACTGAGGGTACGACATTCATAAAAATTTTGGTCTAGTTTATGAAAAATAAACCAGGAGGCATCAGTTAAAACTCTTATAAATACCTTCTTTAAGTGATTTTAAAAGATTTCACTGATTTCTTCCACTTATCAATAGTAATGAAATAAAAAAAAGTCCTAGAAATGGTTACGCTTTGGACAAGATTTGAGTAAGACATTAAAAAATTCTATTGGAAGACTGTCCCAGAAAGGAGCAAGAGCTAAATATGGAGACAAAATTCAAAGAAACCCAAGCAAAAAGAAGGAAGGAAGTCAGGAGGAATTTCCTGAACAGGCACAACAACTTCAGACCCATGAGGGATGGGAAAACAAAAGAAGTTCTAGATGGCCTTACCAGCTAGAGAACAAGCAAACCCTGGCAAGAGCCTCCCCAGGCAGCAGGTTTAACATGGCCCGGCCCTGTTTAAGGGTATCTATCACACAGTGATAGATGATGCTCTAATAAGGCTCTGCAGGGTGATGGAGGGAACCCATAAACCCAATGTGGTTGGGATGAGGATGGAACAATAAAGAAGAGAGAATAAAAGGTTACTAGTTGTTGAGAACCCTACATGTAATTTTATGTATAATAGTTGACTTTATCCCCACAACAACTTTCTAAAATATCAATATACTCACTGTATAGGTGTGGAAGCATAGGTACTAAGAGGCTAAGTGAGGAGGTGGAAGAAGTCATTGGTGAGCAAGCATTTCCATTCTTTCCTAAACACCTATGGAAGAAGCATACCTCCCTGCCTTCACTGTTGGACTTGGTCATGTGACTCGCATGAAAAGGCAACAGAAGACCATGTACCAGCTTAAGCCCGTGCCTTAAGAAGTTTCTGCTTGTACCTCTGGGAGATACTGACTGACTGGAGAAGAACATACACTTTCCAGGCAAACACAAAGCCATGATCATGGCACCAAAATGAGACATATGGGGCAGAGCCGTCTTCTGACCTGCAGATTTGCAGTATTAAAAAGATGCCCTCAGCTGCTCTGTGGAGCTGTGAGGATACAATGAGACTGTTGCATTCCACTGGAGAATAGAGCGAGTAACCAGTTTACTCAAGTGTCTAAAAGTGATTTTTTCACTAAGTACCTCTTACTAGCACTTAACACTGTGTCTAAAACACAGTAGCCATTTTCTGAACAAACATTACCTTTTTTCTTCCACAGAGAGGAAGAACCACAGAAGTATAATACAGAAACCCACTTCTGACTTCCACCTCAAAATTCTAAATATAGTACCTTTATGAGGTGTCTTACTTCTGAGCCAACTTGATTCTTACACAGCCTATCCCATTTTGTTCTGGTTCATTGTGGGTCTAAGGGCAATATTTTTTTTTCTGCCATAAACTGCTTTCTTGCACTGTTACTTTTACAAATCACATTAGCTAAAAATACTGCATTTTATTCTCTTATATCATTCTCTCTCTAAGGCAGGATACTTCACTCTTCACTGTATTTTTATAACTCTCATCTGGTATTTTTTTATGTCTGTTTTCTGCACTTATCTCCATCAAGTTTAGATAACAGTCACCAACTTCTTGATGACTCTAAGCTTTTACTGAACTTTGGGAGATTACATCTATGTAAGGTTCGATGTACTCTACTAATTAAAGATCTCTTTCTATTGCTTCCAGCAGTTTTCATTCCTTGAGATTAAGCCAATAGTTGCAAGGGTGGTGAGATTCAGGGCAGTGATAATTCTCAACTACTCTAAAGCAAGATTGCTCCTTTTTCTCAGTCCTGGTTTTGGGCCAGGTGCGGTGGCTCACACCTGCAACCCCAGCACTTTGGGAGGCCAAAGTGGGCAGATTACTTGAGGTCAACAGTTCAAGACCAGCCTGGACAACATGGTGAAACCCTGTCTCTACTAAAAATACAAAAATTAGCCAGCCATTGTGGTGCGCACCTATGGTCTAAACTACTTGGGAGCTGAGACAGAAGAATAGCTTGAACTCTGGAGGCAGAGGCTGCAGTGAGCTGAGATCGCACCACTGCACTCTAGCCTGGATGACAAAGCAAGATTCCATCTCAAAAGAAAAAAAAAAAAAAGAATGACCATTAACTTCATTCTATCCCTTACATGCAACATTCTTGCTCCATCATTTCTTTTTATGATGTTGGCCTAATGATTTAGTATTTAAGTTTTCTTTACAAACTGGATAACAATTAACAATTTTATAGCAAAGCAGGGGCTCTCCCAACTCAGAACCACTGCTCGCTCACTCTTATCCGTAGAATCAATTCAGGATGCTTAGTGTAGCTGTCGCTGGCTGTTTCACTGACCTATCTCTTGCCGACAGCTCCCTCAAAACTATCTCCCCACCTCCCACACATACTTGAAAGGGAACTAATGTTTATGCTTTCAATATTATTTAAGTATATATTTTAATTATTTCAAATCATTTAGTATTTTACTGGTGAAGGACGAAGGCTCAAGTTCTATCTTGTCCTCGGCTACACATGCAGTAAATGACAAAGCCATCTTACCAAAGTCGGGAGTCTGCATTTCCTAAGCACCTCACTGACATCCTGCAACTTGGCTTACAAACTTCCCTCAGCTCAAAACGCCTCTCAAACACCCCCTTCTGGTGAGCACTTACAGACTCTCTCATGTCCAGCTCAGAGTCTTCTCTTAGTAGCTTTTTATGGCCACCCTGAGACAAAATTAACTGTTGCCCCATGTGTGTATCCGTGGTCTCCTGCATAGTTTTATTAGAGGAAACATGCAAATACACTATTCCTCTGCTCACCCCACTGACCTACAGCTCCTTGGCAGTAGGGCTTTTATTTTTGTTTGCTTGGGTTTTTGTTCTGAGACAGGGTCTTACTCTGTCACCCAGGCTAGAGTGCAGTAGCGCAATCTTGGCTCACTGCAACCTCCGCCTCCCAGACTCAAGTAATCCTCCCACCTCAGCCTCCTGAGTAGCTGGGACTACAGGTACATGCCACCATGCCCAGCTAATTTTTGTATTTTTTGTAGAGATAAGGTTTCATCATGTTGCCCAGGCTGGTCTTGAACTCCTGAGCTCAAGCGATGCACCTGCCTTGGCCTCCCAAAGTACTGGGATTAGAGGCATGAGCCACCATGCCTAGTCTGGGCCTTTATTTTTAATTCTCAGGACTGACTATAGTTTTTGACACATTGTAGGCACTCAACATTCAACATCCAATAAATGAGTGTTGGACCTAATCTAGATAGCTACTACAATTATTAATGAAAAGGAAAGAGCTCTGAGGGAACATGCTTCCATCCATATGCGTCATCTATAATATACTGATAGTGATAAAAACTGAGTGTATAGTGAAACCGTGGTAAATATATCACTATATAGCATTTTTATCTTAACACAGAGGTTCTTTTAAAAGCTTCTGAGGATGGCTTATCAGTACTTCATAAGCAAGAGACTACTAGCATGCAGGCAATTTACAAATAAACATAATTCTAATTTTCACAGCTAAACAATTGAGAAGGGTCATAGGATCCTTAAAAACTGTTTATGAAAAATAGCTCCTGCCTCAAATAGCTCACATGGATCTACTGGGGGAAGCATTGGTGACAGGAGTAAAATTAACATGTTGCCAACCTACCAATGTGCTTTTCTTGGATGTTGTCACCTATTAACATCAAATCACCTATACTTGTTTATATTTGATTATGGTTTTTGAAAACACATTTTTGTGTTTGTTTTTTACTTATAAGATTAAAACACATCAAAACATTTGCTAGAAGAATTGTCTTTTTTTTTTTTACTGTGATAACACTTAAGATACATACTCTTAAGAAAATTTTAAGTGCACTAGATAATATTGTTAACTGTACACACATTACACAGATCATCTCTAGAACTAATAGTTCATCTTCCATAACAAACTTTATATCTGTCAGACAGAAACTCTCTATTCATCCCTGCCCCCATCACTATCCCCTGGTAATGACCATTCTACTTTTTTGAATTTGACTGTTTTAGATTTCTCATATAAGTGGAATCATGCACTTCTGTGACTGGTTAATATCATCTGACATGATGACCTTCAGGTTCATCTACATTATCTCCTATGACAAGGTGAATAATGTTCATATATATATATGTGGGGGGTGTACTATACATGTATATCACATTTTCTTTATATATCCATCTGTGGAAGGACATTTAGGTTGTTTATGTATTTTAACTATTATGAATAATGCTGCAATGAACATGAGAGTGCTAATATCCTTTGAGATACTGATTTTAATTCTTTAAAATACTCAGAAGTGGTATTGCTAGATCATGGGGTAAATCTATTTTCAAAATTTTAGAAATCTCCATACAGTTTTCTATAATCATTGCATCGTTTTATTTTCCCACCAACTGTTTAGAAGGATTCCAATTTCTTCATACACTTACCAGCACTTGGGTTTTGGGTTTGCTTTTGTGACAACAGCCCATCCTAACAGGTGTGAGGTGTCCTCTCACTGCGGTTCTGATTCACAGTTCCCTGATGATTAGTAATGGTGAACATCATTTCATATACCTGTTGGCTATTAGCATGTTTCTTTGGAGAAATTTCTATTTAAGTCCTTTTGCTCATTTTGTAACCAAGTTGAGTGGATTTTTTTGGCTATTGAGTTATAGGAATTCCTTACATATTTTGCATATTAGATGCATCAGATGTATGGTTCATTTTTTCTCCTATTCCATAGGTGGCTTTTCCACTCTGTTGACTGTTTCCTTTGCTGTGCAGAAGCATTTCAGTGTGAGGTAGTTTCAATTGTCTATTTTTGGTGCCTGTGATTTCGGTGTCCTATCCAAGAAATTATTGCCTAGACAAATGTTAAGGAGATTTCCCCATTTCCTTCTACAGACGTTATAGATTCAGGTTTTACTTCTAAATCTTTGTTTCACTTTGAGCTTATTTTTATGTACCACAGAATACATTAAAATTGGACCCTTTTATTATACCATATTCAACCAATTACTTTAATGACAGTGGGTGGTTACTGTATACCTTGTCTGTACCGTTTCTCTCAAAATTTGCATTTCCCTTTGGGAATCTTTTGCAGTTACATCCCACTATCTACCTCTCAGCATTTAGAAAATAAATATTTTCTCTTCCAAATCACTATTGACAGCAAAATCTCAAAGTAAATCCATATGTGAATAGTCACTTTTAAAGAATAGGCAAGTTAAATACTCAGCAGGAATAAAAAGTACAACTCTGTCTTTCTCTTTCTGACACATTTTCTTCCCTGCTTTCCTCCTTCATCCTGTGAGATGAGGGATGGCAGGGTTGCATAGGGGATACATTTGAGGTTTACATCAATCTCACACAGCAGGGTGAGAATGATCACACTATCCTAGTCCCCCACCAGGACCTCTGGAGTAATGTCACATTTCCTTGCCACTGAAAATGCTACCTGATGTACATTACCTTGTCTCTATTTCAGGTTTTAATAACAAATTCAAACTGTCTTTTCAAACCATTTTCTTAAATGTCTTGACAGACTGGTACTAGTGTTACCGTAGATAAATGCCTGCTTTATACCAAAGAGATATCAGAATAATTTCTCTTCAATTTCCTCCTGCATTTTGCCTAATTATTTTGAAACATTTTACAGTATATTCCTTGGTCCCATTAAATTAAAATATCTCTTTCATTCTTTACCCATTGCTGCCCACCCACCAAATCATAGTTTCTACTCTTTGGGTTGTCATTTTGGAAATAACATCTTACTAACTACAACATTCATAGTTAAACCAAAGAAAACAGGTATCATTTGTAACAGTGTTTTTTCTCCACTGTGGCATGTATCAAAGATCTTCTTTTTTGGTTTATTTTACATTGTCTCCAAACAAATAAATCTAAAGTTAAAATACAAAGTATCCTTATCAGACCACCCCTTATCAGCCACTTCACAGCAAAGATGACTGTGTGCTGGGCCAGCAGCAGGCCATTAGCATGCACAGCCTTTTCTCTTTGATTTGTGCTGAAATGTAGGCTATCCAGTTCATACTAGCCTTCAGCCAAAGCCCTGTGGGAAGTAACTGCAAACCATAAACTTCCAGTCCTTTACAGACATTTGTAATAGAAAAAGTATGCAAATAGAGCCACCAACATTACTAGGGAGTCTAACTTTTAAATGACTTAGTGTTATTGGACTTGATTTGTAAATGAAAAATTCAGATATGATGGCAAGGCTGTTTTTAACAACTCTCCTGATGTGATTGAGGAGTTGATGTACTATTGGGGAATTATATACTTTATAACGTAATAAAAATGATTTTTTTTTTTACCAGCAACTTGATTTATGAAGAATGGTGCACACGTCTGCTGAAATATCAAAGTAAACTTTGGTTACATTGGCGAGGAAGCTAAAAGGCTAATACCTCCAGGGCACATAAAAGCTTAGGCCTTCTTTTGGTTTCTTTTCAGGGTGAAGATAAATGCCAGATTGAGTTACTTTGTTTTTTAATACTTAAATCTAAGACTTTAATAACTTTTATATTGTAAGTTAAGGGGTACATGTGCAGGTTTCTTACACAGGTAAACATGTGTCATGGGGGTTTGTTGTACAGATTATTTCATCACCCAGGTATTAAGCCTAGTACTCATTAGTTACTTTTCCTGATCGTCTCCCTCCTCTCACACTCCGTGTTCTGACAACAGGCCCCAGTGTGTGTTGTTCCCCTCTATGTGTCCATGTGTTCTCATCATTTAGCTCCCACTTACAGGTGAAAACGTATAGTATTTGGTTTTCTGTTCCTGCATTCGTTTGCTAAGGATAATGGCCTCCAGCTCCATCCTTATCCCTGCAAAGGACATGATCTTGTTCTCTTTTATGGCTGCATAGTATTCCATGTGTATATGTACCACATTTTTTCTTTTTTCTTTTCTTTTTGAGATGGAGTTTCGCTCTGTCATCCAGACTGGAATGCAGTAGCACGATCTTGGCTCAGCTCACTGCAACCTCTGCCTCCTGGGCTCAAGCAATTCTTCTGCCTCAGCTTCCCAAGTAGCTGGAATTACAGGTATGCGCCACCACATCCAGCTAATTTTTGTAATTTTAGTAGAGATGGGAGATTTCACCATGTTGGCCAGGATGGTCTCAGACTCCTGACCTCAAGTGATCCACCCACCTCGGCCTCCCAAAGCACTAGAATTACAGGTGTGAGCCACCACACCCAGCCAGTACCACATTTTCTTTATCCAGTTTATCAATGATAGGCATTCAGATTGAGTAACTTTTATTCAACAATTTTTCACAAGTATATGCAGTGTGCCCATCATGCCAGCCACTGTCCTAGGTGCTGAGGACACAGCAGTGAATAAAACAGACCAACAGAAGCTCTAGGCTTTTATATGTCCTAGACATATTAGCCTTTTAGTTTCTTCACCAATGTAAAGGAAATGTTTACTTTGATATTTCAGCAGATGTGTACACCATTCTTCATAAATCAAGTTGTTGGTTTAAAAAATCATTTTTTATTAAATCATGAATGTAATGTCTGTGGCCATACAGACAAAAAACGCTGCCTTCATGGAGTCTATATTCTAAGCAACATACGCTGCTCATCTTCACAGATCTGAGCCAAAAGAGGTTTCTTTTTATTTCTAAGGCATTAATATTAACTCAGGTCAAATTTTATTCATTTTTTACAAAGTATGGATTTTTAAAATGAATCATCATTAGAAAATGTTTACCTAATGTCTAGGAAAAACATTATTGGTCTGAGGTTCTTTTAACTACCCATCTACTTCACAAAATGTTTTGCTGTGAATTAAACTACACAGCCTACAGGAAAAGATAAAATCCAAGTATAAATAAAGTAAAGAACAGCACCTAACAAGCACCTCGTATTTTGTACTTTCCTATTTGATTTGATTATGTTTTCAATCTCTTCCCCCTGTTCACAGGAGAGGCCAACTAAAACCTAAAGTTTAGTACAACTTTCTGGAAATTCTGCAAAGTGGCAAACAAACTGAGAAAATCGTATGCCTTAAAAACCCATCACTGATGTTCTTGATCAATAGTTGGCATAAATAAATCGTAGACATGTGGGCAAGACTGCTGGAGCCAGGCAAGGATTTTTCTTAATGTGGACAGTGATGTCACTGAGGCAGAGAGAAGGAAGGCATATTTACAATAAAAGGGAGTGATTATACAATACATTAAAACCATAAATAAATACTCCATTAAGTTATAAAATTCTCTCTATATGTTCTTAGGAGGCCTTCCTGTCAGGCACTTAACTTAGAGAAAAGCAAGTAAAGCTCCATTTATCATTCATTTAGCCAAAACTTGCTGAATCCTGCTCTATGCCCGCCATGACACATCATCATCACTACTGTGTATTAAGAGTTTACTACATCCTATGCACTGTGCTCAGAGATTACATGCATCATCTCATTCCAGCAATGATCAACCCTATAAGCTGGGTGTTCTTTTTAATAATCATTATATAGATTAGGTAAACGATACTCAGGTTGTGTTATTTATCTGTGGTCACATGGCAATTAAATAATCAGATGTCATATGAGGGTATGTAGTTCTAAGATATAAATTCATATTTATGTTACTAAATAAAGGCCTTCTCATGCAAAACAATCAACATCTAAATTCAGGGGAAATCCAGACCTATATTCTAAAAATATGGAGTTAATAGGTGTTTGGCTGACATACTTTAAGATATTCTCTACCCCATGCACCAAAATCATGACTAGTCACTTGAATTAATAGATATCTACACACTTCAACAACAGCTACCTAGAATAATGTATCATGGTAATTTACATTTTTTAAAATTAAGATACAGTATGATTGTATAAACATATGTAAACTTTCATATAGTCATATTATATAAAAAGATTCTATATAATTACATGAGGCAGGATAAGTAGTCAAGGAAGTAATCATGTCCTTGGGATATGGCAACTGTGGCAACCGTACAGTCAAAACAATAAGCCCCAGCATTTGCACCGTAGTCCAGCTCACTCAAGCAAAGCTATCTCCAGTAGGGAACTTCCCCTGGAGGGAGCATGCACATGTGATTTCACCTGTCCTCAGACTGACCCTGTGCTGATGATAATAGTGAAAAACACACCGATGGGTGGAGATTTAAGATGCTAATGAGACATGTGGCACATGGACAAGCATGTACAGCTACTGCACATGTGCGTCCAGACGACCACCCAGAACATGCTTACTAGTAACACTGCTTTCCACCTCCTTATGAATAATCATGTAAAACTCCCCAAAACTCCCTATTGCCAGTCTTTGCTGTCTCATCCTTACAAGCAGCCCACCCTGAATTCTCTGTCTCTCAGGGTGTACTGTCTATTCCGCACTTAACTTTCAAAATATGCTTTTCTTTTGCAGTAAATGACTCTGTGCTGCATATCCTTTGCTGTGTCTTGTTTAATTTCTTTTAAACTAAGAAGAACTGAGGTCTCACAACAGCCTTCAAAAATTACACACTGTTAACTTAAATAACAACTTGACAGTTCAAATTTAAAGAGAACTATTCCTGTTTAATAATCAATCCCCTTTTTACTAAGACAATGGGAAAATAACATTCATGCTGATCACCAACTAACCACATTGTTGGGTTAAATCAAACCTCTGCAATTCCTTTGAGAACATAATGATGTCCGTGGTACCCAGAACACCAAAATTGCCTAGACTACCTTCTAGAACACTGTACAATCTAGTTCCATCACCTCAGTTGTATGTTTACCAGGAAAATATCAATTCCCAAACCCATCATACTTTTAGTGTATTTACATGATTTAAGAATATAAGAGACTGATGAAATATGCGGAAGAAAATAGAGCCATTGCTTCCATTACTTTTTTCGAAAGATGAGATAAATCGAATTGGTGAGAGTGATTGGCTTTATATTAGATGGAGAAATCTTTACAAGGTGAGAAAGATGATTACAAAAGCCCAGAAGAACTGTGCCTTAGACTGCTTTGCAGGCATCCAAGTTTTTACTCCACTTTGAAGGAATCATCACTGGTGCACAGTGGGTAACATTTATTTGAGAAAGTAGAGGTGAGACTCCAACCAGTCAATTCATATTTAAGGAGGTCTAGAACCAAGAATTACCAAACAGATGCACATTATAATGTCCTAAAAACATTTAAATAGCATTTTTATTTCTTGGTAAAGCAACATTTGTTGCTCTAGCCAAGAGTTTCAATCAACTGACAAACTAGAAGTCCTAACTGATTTGAATAAAGGGCTTCTACTGTGCTCTGTGCAAAGCCTTGGGTAGCTAGAGGCAAGATTCTCTAGCAACACAAGCTCTACCCACCCCGGTTACCCACTTCAGAACCCTGCTTTTAGTTTTGGGTACGGCCTCGAAGGATTACAGGTGATCAGATGGATGACATCCTGAGTCATCAGTCAGTGATTCCTGGTCTCAGTCAGTGATTCCTCCAGGCACATCTCCCTTCTGATACTCCTAAATACCAGAACAGCAGCCTGGGAAAAGAGCAAGTAACACTCACTTCTCTCTGGGCATCATGTGTCTCCCAACCCTTGAGTGTCAAGAATCACTCTTTTCTAAACTCCCAGGCTCCTCAAAGAGCAGAAGTGCAGGCATATATCATTTTAGAACGGAAGGAATATTCCAGACTTGCTGCTCAAGAAACAAAAGATGCAAGTGTCTTTGGGCTTGTTCAAAAGTACACCCCTTCTTTCTTTGTGCTGTGGGCAAGAGATGCACATGCCAGTCTAAATGAACCACTGCTGTGTTTATGTTCATGCTGCGTTCCATCATGTTTCCAATCCTTTACTCTTTCTCACCATTTACTGAGGTACTCTCACCCCTACTTCACATCGACAGCCCCACAGCTGGTCATCCTCAGTCACAGTCTTGCCAGTTCTAAGCCAACCTAGCCCCCAGAGTCTCATTTTATATGCACAACAGAGGTAGGCGCATTGTCCATTAGCAAGTCAAAGACTTCTTAAATCACTGAATGGTTCCTAGGCTTCTTGGAATGATTTCAGGAACAACTTGCTGCCCTTGGTCCACTTCTCTTCCCTATCCAAATTTCAAACAAGTAACTGGTATCTTCCCAGTCATCAGTTCCCAAGACTAGACTTTTCTCCCAATCAGGGAAATTGGGCTTGTTACATTTCCATGACATGTCATTCTGAGTGCCCTGTTACCCGTCTCTATCTGGAAGATGGTATATAAATGAAATCATTTACACAGTGCCATTCTAATTTTGAAAGGAATTGTAGGCATGTCAAATAGGGCTCATACCAAATAATAACATTCTAAATAATAAGAGAGGCCACCAATTGAGGTATAATATGTACCAGGTCCTACGCCTGTAACTTTACCTGCACTATCATTTAATTCGCTCAGCAATCCTATAAAGTACTATTGATATCTTACCATGAGGAACCTCAGCGTTAAAAACTTGCCCAAAGTCACAGGTCATGTAAACTCATTTATGTCAAATTTCCAATCCAAACTATATAACCCAAAGACTCCCCAAAGGTAACCAAACAGATAAAATTTATATAAATCCAAAGTTTTTTTCTTGCCTGTCTTTCTGCAATATTCAGTGGGGCAATAAATCTCTGGAATCTGTCATTTCAGTATATTTTTAATAAAGTAGACTCTTTCACACACTCTCCTGGAACCTCTCTCCAGTTGCTCAGCTTGGAGGAACTCAACCAAAGTACAAATAACATAGGGCAATAAGTGATACTTAGAATTTAAGATGCTTTGGGTTTTATGTTGGCATACGATTCTGATACTCTACCAAATTACAACCCAGCAAGAGAAATGTATTATGAACTTGTGTGATATAATAACAAGTTAAAAAGAGTCATCCTTTCTTGGAAATCAGCATGTTCACCCCTTTTGTTTTTGCTTTTGTTCTTAGAACTTGCTGCTGTACCTCTTGCAAAGTCCCATAAGGTAGAACCAGGTGATATCACTATCTTTACCTGATACAGGAGACAGAAAAGAATTTAAAAAAAAGGCCATTTTACACAGAAGGGACCTAATTCTGAATGATTCACCAATATTCGATGAATCACTGATGAGCTATACCTTTGCCCTCTTCAGATTCCTTCTTGGCTGTACTACCAGTAAGTTTGACCATGTCAATGCAGGGAGTTTACTCACATAACTGTACAAGTTTCTAAAAATGTCTAGCAATAAATATATTATTCTTGGAAGTTATGTTCTCGGGAAAAAGAGGTGTCTCCACTTACTTAACAATGAAGTAGCTCACTGAATCATTTAAATAGTGGGCTGAAGAAAACAACAAAATCTTTAAAAAACAATTTATCATCTCAAACTTCTCCTTGAACAACTGTTTCTTTTTTATTTACCTTAGAGAATAGGCAAAGGAAAATAAAATCACTTAACACATAGAGAACTCAAGATAGAGACACACCTTTAGAAAGAGTCACATACAAACTGGTTAGTAAATTAGGCTATTGTCTTATAAAAGTTGTTGTAAATCTTAGGCCAATACATTCTTGAAGAATTGATATTTGATGCATCTGTAGGTATTTATATATATATATATATATATTTGTATTTATATATATATATTTATATATATAAAAATATATATATATTTATATGTATAAAAATATATATATATATATATATATATATATATATCAGGTCATTTTTCCTCCCGCTCATTCTTTTTTTAGTTGTGTTTTTTTTTTTTTAATTTTAAGAGACAAGGACTCGCTCTGTCACCCAGGCTGGAGTACAGTGGCATGATCATGGCTCACTGCAGCCTCAAACTCCTGGGCTCAAGTAATCCTCCTGCCTTAGTCTTTCATATACCTGGGACTACAGGTGCATGCTACCATGCCTGACTAATTTTTTTAACTTATTGTAGAAATGGGATCTCACTGTGTTCCCTGTGATGGTCTTGAACTTCTGGGCTCAAGCGATCCTCCTGCCTCAGCCTCCCAAAGCACTGGGATTGCAGGCATAAGCCACCATGCCCAGCCCTGGTCACTCTGAAAGGAATGTCATTCTCTTTTTTGAAAAGAGATGTGATTTCATTATAATGCCTAATTGTTTTGCCACATACCTAAGGTTCCTGATTCATCCTCCTAAGTGACAAAGACTTTTTACATAGAATCAAAAGAACTTCTGGTGGTGGGAAGATGGTCTATAGAAAAGAAAAACTCCCCCCATGCCTATGTCCTGAATGGTATTGCCTAGGTTTTCTTCTAGGGTTTTTATGGTTTAAGATCTAACATTTAAGTCTTTAATCCATCTTGAATTAATTTTTGTATAAGGTGTAAGGAAGGGATCCAGTTTCAGCTTTCTACATATGGCTAGCCAGTTTTCCCAGCACCATTTGTTAAATAGGGAATCCTTTCCCCATTTCTTGTTTATGTCAGGTTTGCCTAAGATCAGATAGTTGTAGATGTGTGGTATTATTTCTGAGGGCTCTGTCCTGTCCCATTGGTCTATATCTCTGTTTTGGTAACAGTACCATGCTGTTTTGGTTACTGTAGCCTTGTAGTATAGTTTGAAGTCAGGTAGTGTGATGCCTCTAGCTTTGTTCTTTTGGCTCAGGATTGACTTGGCAATGCGGGCTCTTTTTTGGTCCCATAAGAACTTTAAAGTAATTTTTTCCAATTCTGTGAAGAAAGTCATTGGTAGCTTGATGGGGATGGCATTGAATCTGTAAATTACCTTGGGCAGTATGGCCATTTTCATGATATTGATTCTTCCTACCCATGAGCATGGAATGTTCTTCCATTTGTTTGTATCCTCTTTTATTTCATTGAGCAGTGGTGTGTAGTTCTCCTTGAAGAGGTCCTTCACATCCCTTGTAAGTTGGATTCCTAGGTATTTTATTCTCTTTGAAGCAATTGTGAATGGGAGTTCACTCATGATTTGGCTCTCTGTTTATCTGTTACTGGTGTATAAGAATGCTTGTGATTTTTGTACATTGATTTTGTATCCTGAGACTTTGCTGAAGTTGCCTATCAGCTTAAGGAGATTTTGGGCTGAGACGATGGGGTTTTCTAGATATACAATCATGTCATCTGCAAACAGTGACAATTTGACTTCCTCTTTTCCTAACTGAATACCCTTTACTTCTTTCTCCTGCTGATTGCCCTGGCCAGAACTTCCAACACTATGTTGAATAGGAGTGGTGAGAGAGGACATCTCTGTCTTGTGCCAGTTTTCAAAGGGAATGCTTCCAGTTTTTGCCCATTCAGTATGATATTGGCTGTGGGTTTGTCATAAACAGCTTTTATTATTTTGAGATACATCCCATCAATACCTAATTTATTGAGAGTTTTTAGCATGAAGGGCTGTTGAATTTTATCAAAGGCCTTTTCTGCATGTATTGAGATAATTATGTGGTTTTTGTCTTTGGTTCTCTTCATATGATGGATTACATTTATTGATTTGCATATGTTGAACCAGCCTTGCATCCCAGGGATGAAGCCCACTTGATCATGGTGGATAAGCTTTTTGATGTGCTGCTGGATTCAGTTTGCCAGTATTTTATTGAGGATTTTTGCATCGATGTTCATCAGGGATACTGGTCTAAAATTCTCTTTTTTTGTTGTGTCTCTGCCAGGCTTTGGTATCAGGATGATGCCGGCCTCATACTTCATGTCTAAAACACCAAAAGCAATGGCAACAAAAGCCAAAATTGACAAATGGGATCCAATTAAACTAAAGAGCTTCTGCACAGCAAAAGAAACTACCATCAGAGTGAACAGGCAACCTACAGAATGGGAGAAAATTTTTGCAATCTACTCATCTGACAAAGGGCTAATATCCAGAATCTACAATGAACTCAAACAAATTTACAAGAAAAAAACAAAGAATCCCATCAAAAACTGGGTGAAGGATATGAACAGACACTTCTCAAAAGAAGACATTTATGCAGCCAAAAGACACATGAAAAAAATGCTTATCATCACTTGCCATCAGAGAAATGCAAATCAAAACCACAGTGAGATACCATCTCACACCAGTTAGAATGGTGATCATTAAAAAGTCAGGAAACAACAGGTGCTGGAGAGGATGTGGAGAAATAGGAACACTTTTACATTGTTGGTGGGAATGTAAACTACTTCAACCACTGTGGAAGTCAGTGTGGCGGTTCCTCAGGGATCTAGAACTAGAAATACCATTTGACCCAGCCATCCCATTACTGGGTATATATCCAAAGGATTATAAATCATGCTGCTATAAAGACACGTGCACACGTATGTTTATTGCGGCACTACTCACAATAGCAAAGACTTGGAACCAACCCAAATGTCCATCAATGATAGACTGGATTAAGAAAATGTGGCATATATATACCATGGAATACTATGCAGCCATAAAAAAATGATGAGTTCATGTCCTTTGTAGGGATGTGGATGAAACTAGAAACCATCATTCTCAGCAAACTATCACAAGGACAAAAAACCAAACACCGCATGTTCTCACTCATAGCTGGGAATTGAACAATGAGAACACCTGGACACAGGAAAGGGAACATCACACACCGGGGTCTGTTGTTGGGTGGGGGGAGTGGGAGAGATAGCATTAGGAGATATACCTAATGCTGAATGACGAGTTAATGGGTGCAGCACACCAACATGGCACATGTATACATATGTAACAAACCCGCACATTGTGCACATGTACCCTAGAACTTAAAGTATAATAAAAAAAAATTTTAAAAAAAAAGAAAGAAAAGAAAAACTCTGACTCCATTGTCTTGAAACTTTGTTTTTGCCATCTAATTCCTTAGGCACAATTTTCTGGCTGAGGAGAAACTGCCCAAAGACCCTAGTTCCGTTAGATTGAAAAGCGATGAAAGGAACAGTGCAATGTTTTCTTGATGGGGCACTATGGCCTCACCACAGATGTGGCTTAGTTACCTGAGCCCTACCTGGTAACTCCATGTGGATTACCATAAGTACTCTAAAATATGGTAATCAAATACTAATGCACGTAAGTATTGCTTGGAAAACAGAGTAAGACAGTTTCCCCGGCCCTATCTCCAGAGATTCTGATTCACTAGGTCTGGGTGGGGCTCATGAATTTGCATTTCAAATAAACTCACAGATGATGCCAAATGCTAGCCTGAGGACCACATTTTGAGAATCACTCTAGAGGACTGGGATTCCAAAGCACTCAGGGTAACCTGTATCACAGACTGTATCTAAAATGTTGTTCTTGGATTACAGTGGTCTGTAGCTTTAAGAAGCAATTATGATACGTTTCTTACCAAAGGTCATCAAAGAAAGCACACTGCTGTGATGGCAAGCTATCCACTTTTATAAAAAGAAGAAGAAGAAGAAAAAAAAAAGAAACAAAGTAATGGCTCTTCTCTTGGAACTGAGAGAAAGCTGACTCTGGTTTACGAAGGCCTATCTCATTCCTGATCGTTTATCATTTGAGAGAGGTGTGAACAGTCTATGTCAAAAATGCTCATTCAACATTCCCAGGAAGCCACTCACAGGGCTGAATGTAATTTTACTTAAGCCTGTCTGAACTTGCTTTTCTTATTTTTCCCCCTGTAGACACACGATTTTCTTTCTTTGTAAGAAAGAATTCAAAGACAAAGACACAGATGTGATTTCACCAAACTAGCAAACTTTAAAGCAAAAAAAAAAAAATCATCCATTTCTGTTTATAGCAAGACTCCCTGTTATCCCTCTACTCATCTTCCTATGCAGAGAGAAAATGTGAAACTGTAATAGCCACTCTTCAAGACTGATTAAATAAAAATCATTCAAAAGCCTGTGTTGATAACATATTCCTATCTTTTGTGTGCAAATCCATATTGTGTTTCTTGGAAGACCTAATATCCTAGAAAAAATAGACCTGCTTCTTACTGAAAAGCAGCAGTTGGAAACTGAAATGCCTACAGTACAAGTAGTAACAAAATTAATGGACCAAGCCAGGAGTGAAGCAAGGGAGGGTAGGAGGGACAATGGAGTTCTTGAGAGTCCTGGCATTACTGGGAGAACTGCAACTAATTAGCTTCAGAAAAAAATCCAATTCTGATAATGCCAATTGGGGCATCATTGAGATTCTTTCCATTTTTTGTTTGTTTCTCTTGGTCCTCTTTCTTGATGTGTCTGAGGATTTTAAGTAGAATTACAGAAGCTGTGAATGCAGAATTATAGAGACTCTGCATGATGGTATCTCCCACCAAAGAAGGTTCATCCTACTCTCTGGCAGCCAGTCTGAAATGGGGCGTTACTTTCATCCAATTTGGAATTGAGTTGACTCAAAGCTGGTTAGTGTTTTGAAAGATGTGGTCCACCTCTGGTTTACACACACTCCATAGGTGTGGTTTAAGGCCTGTGGGGTACACTAGTACACCTGTCATTCGTGGATGTGCAACTCTACTTATTTTAACCTCAGCCCTAGGAGACTATCAAAAACACACACAGTGGCTCACACCTGTGATCCCAACACTTTGCACCAAGGTAGGAAAATGGCTTGAAGCCAGGAGTTCAAGACCAGTCTGGTCAACATAGCAAGACCCTGTCTCCACAAAATACTTAAAATATTAGCCAGGTATGCTCATGCACACTTATAGTACAAGCTATTCAGGAGGCTGAGGTGGGAGGACTGCTTGAGCCCAGGAGTTTGAGGTTGCAGTGAGCTATGATCATTCTACTGCAATCCAGCCTGGGCAGCAGAGCAAGACCCTATCTCATTAAAATAATAATAATAATAATAATAATAATAATAATAATAATAATAAAAAGCCTTCAGGTATAAATCTACCCAAGGCACCCATCTTCTCTCTTAGGTCTTGGTTCCTCTGAATCCTGGCTGCTTTGGCAGACCCAAACTTCTATGCTTGTCTCTTCAGCCTTATGAGATCACCAAAAATTATGTTGCCCACAAGGTATGATTTTCTAGCTGCCTGTTTTCTCAACTGCTCCTTGAGCCAAAACCCAGCAAATTCCCTGAAGGGAAAAGCAGCCTGTGGACTCCCGGCTCAGCACTCTATAGTTCCCTGATTTCTGGGTCTCTTGGTTGTCTTGGCAGTTCTTTGTTATCTTCAAATTAGGTTTACATGTGGCTTTTCTATTGTTTTCAAAGAAACATCAGTTTGTCACAAGCCACTCTAATTTAGCCAAAAGCAGAAGTCCTCAGGTTAATTTAATAGAGTAATAATATAATTACTTCCCCAAGAAATAATGTTTTTATTCTGAATATGAGGTTAAATTCAAATTTAAACTTAATCCATATGTTACATAGGAATTATTTTGTTAAGAATTAGCTTCAAATATGATAATACACATATTCTATTCCAAACAACATGACAACTCATTCTTAGTTCAATGATCTCTTTTAAGACAGATATATCAAGCAATTTTTGTAATCTGTCAGCAGGCCTCAAAGAAACTTCAAATAACCATAAATCAGTGTTATCATTTGGAGTACTTGAGATGCTCTAGATAAATATTTGATGGTAGATGGACACTAGGCAGAGGAATAGTTTCATCTAATACAATAATAAAAAAAATCACAAGACACCCACTAGTAAGTTTATCAGGGAGCAAGATGGAGAATGTTGCTGACAGAATACCACTCCTGCAGCTGCCAGTAATAATTCACCCTTGAAGCAAAGAGATGGAGATTTAAATGGGGACACTATCCAACTTAAGCCTTTCTGTAGAATATAGTGTCCTAGATGAAGACGTATGTAGTAAAGATGGGGGAAATGACCAAATTATTCGATTACCATGTGTTACCTCCAACTGGGACTTCCAATATTCCTGAAAATTCACCTGCAGAAGAAAGTAAAAGAGAAACAACAAATTCTCACCATGAAATGATTTTGAATGCTATTTCAGAATATTACCCTGTTAGATCATCTCATCAATGAATTCAGGGGCCCTCTATTATGTAGGTAGCTCAAGAACGTAGCAGAAGCCTTGGAAGGGACTGTCCATGGTGGATACTGACCTCAATTGCTCTCGGATTATAACGGACTATAGCAGTGGATCTCTTGAGAGGGCTTTAGTCTCTTCCTTAACATGCTTTTATCCCAGGGTGGGATTACTAAGATCAAATGCCCAGGCATTCAAATGATGGAGATGTAGAATGGTATCAAGTTTGGCACACATCCTAACCAATTAATTGGTTTTCATAATTATCAAGTGTTAAGATGGAGTCAAAAAAAATCACACAAAAAAACTTAGGTCTAAAAGCAAACAAAAAATAATTTTAGCTATGTGTGCAGTATCAAGTGGTATCAACTGATGTCCAAAAAATAAAAAGAAGAGCATTTTCTGTATGTGGTAGGCACTGTGCCAAGGATATTACATAAAATCTGCTCATCTTCACAGTAACTCTGAATTAAATACCGTCATAATCCTCATTCTTACGGATAAGGAAAATGAAGCAGAGAGTGGGTAAGTAATTTAGTCAAGGTAGTAAGCAGAGAGAGACAACCTGAACTAGCTCTCTGGATGCAACATTGAAAGCTCTTAACCGCATTGCTTTACTGGCCTCCTGGACAGCATTGATCATTTTCCCTGCACTTTAAGAATGTAACTACGGATTATGGACACGTGCCTTTCCTAGCTATTCTTAAATTCTGAGCTTAATATAAAATTAATGACATCCTGGGAGCCATGATTCTTCCCTACTACATCTCACTAAGAACATGGTTTATGAAATCTTTATAGCTAGTTGAAATGTGTTTACTAAGTCTTGCCAGGAAGCTCATTTTATAGGGATATCACACACAGGCAATATAAATTCCTATGGGGCTAAGAAGCCTTCATTCCAACCAGTGCTTTTCCTCCAAGTAATTCGGTAGGTTTGGAAAATGAAGCATCTGGTCTGCTCTTTTCCACAAGTTTCTAAGCTTGAATAAAGATCACTCACTTGATACAGAAAGGGTTGGAAAAATTCCAGATCTGGCCTCTGAAGGTTACTTCCCAGAATGCGGCTGTTAACTACCTATTACTGTTTAGACCAAGTATCTTTGAGAGGGAAAAACTCGCTTTGATTGCCTAGGTACTTCAAGCTGCAAATCTGCATTTCAGTGAACAACTACTAAGTAAGCAGACAGGAAAGAGAACCAGTGCCCCGGTCTGTATGCAACATCTTGTTCTAGCCTTTTGTGCCGAAAAGCTATGCAACTGTGAGAAAGTCACACTGTAAGCCTCAGCTTCCTTCTCAATAAACTGAAGATGATGATGATGTTCTTATAAAGGTAGCGTAAGTGAAAGCACTTAGAAGTTATTCAAATATGACATCATATGCGCATACACACACACACACACACACATATGCAGTAATGTGGCACTTAATAATGGAGCTATGTTCTGGGAAATGCATTGTTAGGCTATTTTATTGTGCCAACATCACAAACTGTACTTACACAAACCTAGATGGTGCAGCCTACTACATACCCAGGCTATATGGTATAGCCTATTGCTCCTCCTAGATACAAACATGTATAGCATGTTATTGTACTGAATACTGTAGGTAATTGTAACACACTGGCAAGTATTTGTGTATCAAAACATAAAAAAGATACTATAAAAATATGGCACAAAAGGTAGCTGGCGTGGTGACTCAGGCCTGTAATCCCAGCACTTTGGGAGGCCGAGGTGGGTGCATCACAAGGTCAAGAGATCAAGACCATCCTGGCCAATATGGTGAAACCCCATCTCTACTAAAAATACGAAAATTAGCTAGGTCTGGTGGCACACGCCTGTAGTCCCAGCTACTCAGGAGGCTGAGGCAGGAGAATCACTTGAAACTGGGAGGCAGAGGTTGCAATAAACCGAGATCGGGGCACTGCACTCCAGCCTGGCGACAGAGCTAGACTCTGTCAAAAAAAAAAAAAAAAAAAAAAAGGCATAAAAGGTAGAAAATGAAAATGGTAGACCTATATAGAGCACTTAACATGAATGAAGCTTACGGGACTAGAAATTGTTCTGGGTGAGCCAGTGAGGGAGTGGTGAGTGAATGTGAAGATCTAGGATATTATTGTAAACTACTGTAGACTTTAATAAGCACTGTACCCTTAAGGTTACACTAAATTTATTAAAAAATAAAGTATTAATAATTGCACTATGACATTACAATGTCTACGTCAACACTGGGCAATAGGAATTTTTCAACTCCATTATAATCTTATGGGGCCACTGTCATATATGTGGTTCACTGTTGACTGAAATGTTTTATGGTACATAAATATATATATATGTGTATATATCCCCAAGATATAAATATGTATATATATCTCTAAGAGCTGAGCTGTGCATATTATCCAGGTCCTGTATAGAACTGTATAGAACTATGCAAGTGACAAAGCAGAAAAGAATAAACAGAAAAAGTCCATTAAGCCACTCCAGAGGAAGTGAGTTTGAGAGGGGATGCTGGATTTTCATAATGAGAGAAAGATAATGCAGAGCAGGAAGAGAGATTTTAAAAAATGAGGAGCTGCAGGTCAGCTACAGAAGTGGGTTCCAGAGAGTTCCAGTAATGCCAGCACTGGGTTAAGTGGGGAATTTGGGGATGAAATAACAGCAGACAATGCCTCACTTATTAATGGAAAATCATTTGATATAGAAAAGTTGTGTGCAAGGAGCCATAAACCAAAAACACCAACAAAAACCATGTTTTCAAGAAGGAACCTGCTTGTAACGAGCCAGTGAAGGTATATACCAATTTAAGAATTAGGTACTAGTGACTTCGAATTATTTAACAGCCAGGTCCATATAGAGAATAAATAGTAGACTATTTTTCTCATATGGGCTATTTAAGTGAGAGATATAAGCAGATAAAACTTCTTAATTAATTGCTTTCAATAGTTTAGAGTTAGAATAGGTATTTTCAATTTGTATAATGAAAACTTGTTTTTAGGAGTTCTTGGGCCAACGAAGAAGGCAATCGCAACATTAACATAGTTTGAATTAAACATCGGTAAAACAACAACTAATGAAAAGCCCAATATGTTTTTCTTACTACTTGAAAAAATATTTTTACTTTATTTTTTTTAACCATTTTATCAAATGGTTATCAGGGGCCCAGTGCTCCTGAAGTCAATAACCAAGGTTCAGAAATCTTTACCCTTTTGCTTTTTGGGAAACGTCCTAAGCCACGAAAACCAACTTGCCGTTGCATATCATAAGGCCCACCTCCAGCCTTCCTGGTTCCCTGTGTTATAAATCTTCACCTTTTCTCCCTCTTCTTTCAGACCTTCTTCATTTCTGAACATCCCCCCACTTCAATAACCCGAATAAACTCATCTCCTTAATGGACTGGTACATCTTGTCTTTGACATATTTAACTGTTACAAGAATTCCAGAAAACTGATACTAGAAAAAAATGAAACCATATAGTACATACACTTTTGGTGCTATTTTCCAGAAGTTGTATGAATGCAAAATCTCAGGTAAACAAAATTTCATAAAGGATATTAAATATCAGTTGATTATACTAGTGCCACAATCCCAAGAAAGAATATAAGTATCTACGGAAAATCTCATTTTGCACAAAGATAACTTAGTACAACTAAAACTAGTTCAACTTTTTTAGAAAAAACATTAAGCAAGTAAACCTGACTCTCCAACTATGAGAAGCATTCCAAACTGAGCATGACCCCATAGGTAGCACTGGGAGATTGCATAAGGACCAGAAGGTTTCTAGCAATATGGGAAAAAAAGAAAATCACAGCTTTAGCAAAGGAACAAAGTCCTAACTATGAAGATGACTTAAAGATACAATCCTTAGGCCCACATGGGACCCTGAGGCCACCCACTTCCAAATTTGAGACTCCCTTAATCTCAAATCCGAGCCACAATTCAGTGGGCCTAACTCCAATTGATGTCTCAAGACTTGTAATTTTCTACAAGTTTATTGCTTTCCCTCTGAGCAAATAAACATACCACACTTTATTTCTATACTTCTGTGAGATTTCTCATATAAATAAATGCCCAAATCTTGGGAGGAGAAATACTGTAACCACATATCTTCATTTCAGGCCCTGCATAAATCAATTTACAGTGCAACTCTAAGGTAAAAAAATGCAGCAATAGCAGCCACACTCAATAATAAAATCACACTAATTTGGACTAATAATTAGTAACCTACTTCCTGAGCACTGCACCAAGCGATTCATATGCTTTATCTCATTTCAGTATCAGGAAAACCCTATGAAGTGGTTTAAAGTGGCCCCATTTGACAGATGTGAAAGGTTAGGACCAGAGAGGCTTTACTGTGTACCCAAGATGACTAAATTATTGGAAAGTAAGTGGTAACATAGTAATTATTAAGAAAGGATTCAACATGCATCACCGTTATAGTCAAAAGACATTGGAATTTACATGAGACCAATAGAATGTGACCAAATAAAGATATTTAAATGACCAGTTTAATGAATTCAAAACAATGATTAGTAATTAACACATCAATCTTTGAATGTCAATGGATAATTCTAAAGTGCTGCAGCTTGCTTGAAAAGTGCCTTCTCTCAAGCTGATTAAATATTCTCTCCAAAAATCTTGTTTACATTATTAATTTGCTCAATAACCCCTGTCTTCAGAGAAGTGTAAACCTCTAGCTGGTCCCTGAAGAGTTAGCACATATTTTTAATTAAAATGGTCTTGAATCAATTGAGTTATTATTTTTCCAGGTTATATTACTAACAATATTAACTCCAAATAAGATAGATTAAAAAACAAGGTACATTGAAAGTATGCAAATGTAAGTGTCTTCAACAATGAAATATCTAAAGTTCATATAAAGACCTGACTCCAAATTATGAAAAATGGAAAATTAGTCATTTCTGTAGTGTACACGAATGATTTGCAACAGCAAAGAATGTAAGGATGTGTCAAAAGTTTACAAGTTCAAAGTACAAAATGAACACTTCCTTTAGGAAATGCTAAAACAAAATTAAATACCATTAGAAAGATTTTGACACTTTGCTCTTTTATGAGCCAAATTACAGTAACAGAGTTGGGAATATAATGATGCAATTATACGCTGTCATGAACAGTTTAATTATTTTATGCCTGAGCAGATTTTTTTTTTTTTTAACTCAAGTGCCCTATACAACTTCCACACCTGAATGCTTCTAACTTGGCTTTGCCATTTTCTGACTCTATTTAATTTTCTGGGGACACAGAAGGATGGTCCTTACTTTAAAAAATGGTTCTATCAAAATTCATTCTCTTCACTTTTAAGCTCTTAAAGGCGAGGTAACAGTTTTTCAGCATACACTCTCCAGAGGGCTAAACTCATTCATTCATTCTTTCCAATGCTCCAATGCCTCCGCCAGGCCAGGCACCAGGCTAGGATGCAACATAGATAGATGTGGGAAGTCAAGGGAGATGACTGACAAACGAGGAAAATGAAAATCAACAGGAAGTTGTAAAACATAAAGGCAGCTATGGGTCATGTCTATGCCTTCAGGTTTCACCATCAGTCCTGTTTTAAATCCTAGCCCTGACTCTATGTAAGTATTTCAGCTCTAAGTTAATCTCTTCACCACCTGGAAAATGGGGGCCATGAAGATCTCTCCCTCACAAGTTGTGAGGTTCAAATGAGATGACGATGCAAATCTGGCACATAGTATATGCCCAGTGAATATCAGCAGCTACCGAATGATAATAATTGTATTTTTATTACTTTTTGTATTATCATAAGTGTCACAATAAGCTATATAAAGCATGCTAATAAGAACACTGAGGAAAAGCAATAAATCTTCCTGGAGTAGCTCATTCCGAACAGACAAAAGTTTCAGGGGAGAGAGGGAGATAATGCTGAGTAATGGGTCTTCAATCTCTATGAGAAAAAAAAATAACCTAAGCATTGTTCAAGAGAAGATGCCATGTTCATTTAAATGACTATTTCATCTTAAGAAAGCAGTCTGAGCTACTAATCAAACCAGAACCCTAGCCATGCTGATGATGATCATTAATGTCATCATCCATAAATTCATTTGCTGTGTCACATCTTGGTGTAGGAATACTCATTTGTTACAGTTATGTCTTCAGTTTGATGTGAAGAGAAAGCAACCATAAAGCAACTTCAAGGAAGCTCCTCCAAATAATTAAAATTCTGAAGCATTCCTCAAGCCAAAAGCAGATCAGACCCTCACTGAGGGCACTTTCTATTAAATAAGCAGGCTGCTATTTGTTGTTCTTGCAGCACAAGTCCTTGAGCTCACAAATCCCACAGCACCAAAAGTCATTATTTTTTAACCAAACTTTTTTTTTTTTTTTCTTGAGACAGAGCCTCACTCTGTCACCCAGGCTGGAGTGCACTCGCATGATCTCGGCTCACTGCAACCTCCACCTCCTGGGTTCAAGCAATTCTCCTGCCTCAGCCTCTCGAGTAGCTGGGACTACAGGCACCTGCCACCACACCCGGCTAATTTTTGGTATTTTTAGTAGAGATGGGGTTTCACCGTGTTAGCCAGGATGGTCTCAATCTCCTGACCTCGTGATCCACTTGCCTTAGCCTCTCAAAGTGCTGGGATTATAGGTGTGAGCCACCACGCTCAGCCTTAACCTAACTTTTAAAGTCCTAAATATATCTTCTTAATAAAAGGGCCACCATTTCTTGTGCACATCTGGAGCCCTTTCTGGGCACTAGTCACTGTGCAAAAGTTGTTACACACATAACCTCATTTCCCACAATCCTTCCCAGGAGACACTACTTATCCAGGGTTGTAAAGATAAGGAAACTGAGGCACAGAGATTTTTAAGTCACTTACGCAAGTTTTACCATAACAAACTTGGGTATTACCCAAGTTTAATATTACCATAATAAACCCAAGTTTACTATCAAACAGCAGAGCTCTGATATGAACCCAACTTTGAACTCAATGTCTTTAGTGACTATATTATAGTATGAGTACCTTGAGAATATATATATTTTAAATTTCCTTATTTTTAAAAAACAATACTCAAATTCAAAATACAAATTAAGATGGGGTGGGTGAGGTAGGGTGAGGGGAGTGAATGGATGAAAGAAGGGAAAGGAAGGCAAATTATCCAGCCACTACAGTCAGATGTTAAAGTAGAATTCAGATATCAACCCCAATCGGGTTGGGTTTTCATTATGATCAGACAAGACTCTTCTTGACCAAAGACTGAACTCAATTTCTAGTCAATGTCTTAGATAACAAGGGCCCTCATCCATTATTAGACTTTGAGGTCTTTTCCCTCCATCATTGAGCTTCAGCTCAGCAATCTTACGGCCATTTACAAGGTGACTGATGAGCCTTCATCATAAAACAAGATGAAAGCAACTTGCCTACATGCACGTCTTCAAAACCAACCAAATGAACCAATTACAGAACAAAACCAGTTTAGTGTGAGGATCAAAATGTGATAATGTTTTGTTGAGCACAGAGATAGGCACATAGTGGGTTGCTTGTTTATTTGCTTTAGTATGAATAATAATTATTATGGATATTATCAGGATTCCTAAAAAGAGTCATTTAACTATTATGGGAACAATATAATATACTAGATGCCCTTTCCTCAAGGTTATGCAACCTACATGGGAAAATAACTAAAACAAATGAGTAGCTTCTGCAATTAAGGATCCTGAGAATGACTTCCCTGCTTGATTTGTGGTAGTAGCTGCATGCCCAAATGGAGGAAAATTATTTGAATAAACATTGGTCAGTGGGGAGAAGTGAGTTTTAGGACTAGGCTGCTTTCAGAGAAATTCATCAAGAGGAAAAAAATACATAATTTTAAGAAGTCAAAGCCTATTATTAGAAAAATATGTTCACCAAATGCAGCTCTAATACCTTTAGCAATGAGATAAACTGAGTCTAGCAAGTGGTTGGACTCATAATGATTCGATTTCTTTAACTAGCCCATTAATCCAAAAGATGGCCAATCCACGTTCATGAAGACACTGCCAGTGAGCTAGAATATCTGAAAGAGTTGGCATAAAAAGCTCCACCACATGCAATTAATCCACATCTGATCACATGCCCCTGAATAATGTCAGCCCACAGATGGGTTTGTACACACAAGATACAGTGTTGCCTTTAAATATTCACAAATATTTTTAAAGTATAACTTTTTAAAAAACATATATGACTCAGAAAGAACAGAAGGGTTGCACAACTCCCAGATATCTGAAATGATGGTTACCGACAAATCTTCACTGATGCTAAAGAACATTTATTTCACACCTACTCTGCCACATTCACTCCCACACACTTCCCCAAACCAGAATTGAATTGTTACTTCACTTTCATGCTGACTTCAGACATAATTGTCACTTCTGCAAGGTCACACTTTGGGGAACACTATGTACCTTCTTAAATACAACATTAATTATGGAACTAACCTATTTAGTCTCTTGCCCTAAAGACTTCAGCATTTAACTCGACTTCCCCATAGTTTACTGTATCATAGCAATTAAGTTAATGGCAGCAGCAGCAGCAGAGAATCTTTTAACCCCTAATGGGCTTGTTCCTCTGATTAGACTAGATCAAAGAAGCTGCAGCTATTTGGAGGCAGATTAGAGAGGCTTCTTTTTTACTGATATCAGCACTGAAGAGTGGAAGATCATGTGTGTGTTGACATCTTACCCAAATCCATCCATGACAGTTTACACTGAAGTTATTCTTAATGAAGACTTTTAATACATCAAGACTATATGGATCAGGAGGCATGAAAGCACCCTTACATTCAAAGAGAATAAAATACCTAGGAATCCAATTTACAAGAGAGGTGAAGGACCTCTTCAAGGAGAACTACAAACCACTGCTCAATGAAATAAAAGAGGATACAAACAAATGGAAGAACATTCCATGCTCATGGGTAGGAAGAATCAATATCATGAAAATGGCCATACTGCCCAAGGTAATTTATAGATTCAATGCCATCCCCATCAAGATACTAAGGACTTTCTTCACAGAATTGGAAAAAACTACTTTAAAGTTCATATGGAACCAAAACAGAGCCCGTATTGCCAAGTCAATCCTAAGCCAAAAGAACAAAGCTGGAGGCATCACACTACCTGACTTCAAACAATACTACAAGGCTACAGTAACCAAAACAGCATGGTACTGGTACCAAAACAGAGATATAGACCAATGGAACAGAACAGAGCCCTCAGAAATAATGTCACATATCTACAACCACCTGATCTTTGACAAACCTGACAAAAACAAGAAATGGGGAAAGGATTCCCTATTTAATAAATGGTGCTGGGAAAACCGGCTAGCCATGTGTAGAAAGCTGAAACTGGATCCCTTCCTTACACCTTATACAAAAATGAATTCAAGATGGATTAAAGACTTAAATGTTAGACCTAAAACCATAAAAACCCTAGAAGAAAACCTAGGCAATACCATTCAGGACATAGGCATGGGCAAGGACTTCATGTCTAAAGCACCAAAAGCAATGGCAACAAAAGCCAAAATTGACAAATGGGATCCAATTAAACTAAAGAGCTTCTGCACAGCAAAAGAATCTACCATCAGAGTGAACAGGCAACCTACAGAATGGGAGAAAATTTTTGCAATCTACTCATCTGACAAAGGGCTAATATCCAGAATCTACAATGAACTCAAACAAATTTACAAGAAAAAAAACAAAGAATCCCATCAAAAACTGGGCGAAGGATATGAACAGACACTTCTCAAAAGAAGACATTTATGCAGCCAAAAGACACGTGAAAAAACGCTCATCATCACTGGCCATCAGAGAAATGCAAATCAAAACCACAATGAGATACCATCTCACACCAGTTAGAATGGTGATCATTAAAAAGTCAGGAAACAACAGGTGCTGGAGAGGATGTGGAGAAATAGGAACACTTTTACACTGTTGGTAGGAATGTAAACTACTTCAACCATTGTGGAAGTCAGTGTGGCGGTTCCTCAGGGATCCAGAACTAGAAATACCATTTGACCCAGCCATCCCATTACTGGGTATATACCCAAAGGATTATAAATCATGCTGCTATAAAGACACATGCACACGTATGTTTATTGCGGCACTACTCACACTAGCAAAGACTTGGAACCAACCCAAATGTCCATCAATGATAGACTGGATTAAGAAAATGTGGCACATATACACCATGGAATACTATGCAGCCATAAAAATGATGAGTTCATGTCCTTTGTAGGGACATGGATGAAGGTGGAAACATCATTCTCAGCAAACTATGGCAAGGACAAAAAACCAAACACCGCATGTTCTCACTCATAGGTGGGAATTGAACTATGAGAACACATTGACACAGGAAAGGGAACATCACACACCACACACAGGGGCTTGTTGTGGGGTGGGGGGAGGGGGGAGGGATAGCATTAGGAGATATACCTAATGTTAAATGATGAGTTAATGGGTGCAGCACACCAACATGGCACATGTATACATATGTAACTAACCTGCATGTTGTGCACATGTACCCTAAAACTTAAAGTGTAATAATAATAATAATAATAAAAGAAATCACCGTTATATATTTCAGGCAAAGGTACCCAGTAGCTTTAGGTTTTTATGCCCATCTGCTTTCTCAACACACCTTGACCGCCAACTCTAGATGTCAAAAGCTGATACAGGAGTCATACATCATTCAATTACGTTCTTCATGATATGGGGGCTATGTGCATTCTACTATATATATTTTTAAAGACATGGTCTCACTCTGTCGCCCAGGCTGGAGTGCAGTGGCACAAATCACGGCTCACTGCAGCCTTGAACTCCTAGGCTCAAGGGATCCTCCCACCTTAGCCTCCCAAGCAAGCTGGGACTACAAATGTACACCACCACACCTGGCTAATTTGTCTTATTTTTTTTTTTTTAGAAACAAAGTCTCACTATGCTGCTAGGGCTGGTTTCGAGCTCCTGGGCTCAAGCGATCCTCCTACCTTGTTCTCCCAAAGTGCTGGGATTACAAGCATGAGCCACAGTGCCCAGCCCATTTTTATCGTTGGTGGAAAGAAAAGCATTTTTTATAATGTGTTTAGATGTCATACTCAATTCTAGCTTCATCAAAATCACTTGGAGCTTTTACATTAATGTTTAAAATACAAGCTACATCCCAGAGCTAGTGAATTAGTATATTTTAAGGGTTGAGCCAGAAATTTATAGTTTACCAAAGTTTCCAAGGTGATTCTAATAATGACCTAGTTCCAGAAATCACTGGTATATGCCATAATGCAAAGGTATAAAGATAGTATACACCAAGTAAATAAATGTCAAAGATCAATTAACTAAAACAAAGAGTGGGTTGGGAAAAATGAGACTGCCTGAGACTAAAATCTCATTCTCCATCAGCTATTAAGGTAGATAAATTACAGCACCTCTTTGAGTTTCAATGCCCTCACTTTCAAAATGGGGCAGTAATAGCTACCACAGATACATAGGTACAACGCGCTTAGCAGTGGTTTGAAACCACAATAAGCTGCCAAAAAGCATGGCTCATTTTGCTTTTTAACCAGATTCTAGATCTTCTAAACAATAAAGCTGATTATAAAGACATTTTCCACAAAATAGCCTTTTTCCTCTCCTTCAATGCTTTTCACTTAATACTGTACTTCTTGCAAAGTCAGTAGGCTGAGCATGAACAAATTAAAATTAAAAGCTGAATTACTTAATTAATTTTAAGGCACTCTCAGTTCATTAACAGCATTCCTGCAAGTTAAAAAACAAGAAAACACATGGAATGATTGTAAACCGCATCCCAATTTCAGAAATGTTCAAATATATTGGGGTTGGGGAGGTGAGCAGGGCAATCTACTGCCATATCAAACCCAAAAGCTTCTCTTAAAAAGGCTATGTACATGTATATGCCCACCAGACAAGATGTCCTTCTCTCATGTTGCAATCAGCAACCCAAAAGTCCTGTAAAATAGCCAAAGGTCAAAATAGTTCAGAAAACACTACTTCTTATAGTCCTCCTCTCCACAACCCTCTTTTCAGAAGTTCGTAACTGGCATATTCACATATCAAAAAATCTGAAATTAAGAAATGTCTTCAACAAATATGTCTATCAAACTTGTCTTGAACTTTCCTCACTTACCTTTCGGGGGGCAAATCTGATGAGGACTTATTTTGGGAAACATTAAAATTAGGGAAAGTCTTTTGGTTATACTTATTAGGAAAATCATTGTCCAAGTGTCCTGTCTTGCCAGAATGAGAGGTTTATAAGGAAAGAAGTTCCACGGCTTTGGACTAATAACCAACCATGGGAATCACAGCTTCCTTCCAAGGGAAATAACACCTTTTTTTAAAATTTGCTTTTATATTGGTTAAAAAAAAAAGAACCATGAGGAAACATCAAGAACCAATATTACTTCTTTGGAAAAACTTTTTGGGGATATTGCTAAGGATTTATATTGCATAATTCAACTAAACGAATTTTTTAGTTTTAAAAAATCCCAATAATATTATAAACCTAGAAACTGTTTATTCAGATCCACCTTGGTAAAATAAATACATTCAATAAACACAGAATACAGACAGCTTTAATTTTTTACATGTGGGTCAGGAGGATCCATCTCTCCCAAAACATGTATCACCCCACATGTGCTGTGATTTACAATCCTCAAAGCATTAAAGTTTAATTTGTGAATCTACTGTTTCAGATTCATTGGAATTCTGATCCAATAGTCACTCTAAAATAGATGCAGGCTGGAAGACAATTCTCTACATTTTAAAGCCAGATGGCCCATAACAGCTAAATATTTTTTCTTTCCTTGTTCAGAATATAATTCATGTTGGAAGTAGTGAATCAACTTAAGTACGTACAAATTTAAGGGAACCTTAGTCATCAGTCCCAAACTTAGGAATCTATTTAAAGGAAATATATTTTAAGGTTAAGTTTAAAAAATAACAAAAGAGAATACCATATGTAACAACCCTGGCACAGAACACTTTCTTTAAGAAAACTCCCTTAACGTTAACGGCAAAAAAATACTCTTCCCATTTCACTATGGTAACTAATAAAAATTTTTTCTTCACACTGAAAAATAAAATCTTTATTTAATCTAATTCTGTAAGTGCCAAAAACTCTGATTATTTTATCAAGTTATTAAATATGTTATTCAGTAGTGAGCCTTATTGATTTTCCTTTTGATTAGAAAAATTACCAAAAAAATCCAGCTCTACAGTTCATAACCTGAGAATGGTAGAAACCCAAGACGTAGAGCACATTATGCAACACTCTTAAACAAATCTGCCTCTTGGGATCTCTCTCCTTTTATAGAAAGAGACTCTCCAGCAGCCCCTAGAGACATTCCCATACTAAGTGAGTCAGCTAAATAAAATTAAGCAACTAATAAAACAATATGTCATCTTGTTCTCATTGTCATAATTAAAATCCTTTTTCTTTAAGATGAAAGGTGGCAGCTATAGAGTAGCCTTCAAAATCATAGGCTATGCCGAAGCAGGATCTTCTCTCCAACGCTGTACAGACAACGCAGCTGTCCCTGACATCACCACTTGAAATTATTCCCTATTTGATATTTTTGACATTAAAAGGCTGAAGTCTTTTTTCTTCTGCAAGTTACTTCCATGCTTGCTTATTAAGCATTCCAAGTTGGTCTCTCACCCAATAGCCTTAGAAAGCAGACCATCATTATTTAGGGCAAAGGTTTCCAGAGGCAGTCAGAGGCAGGATAAGGATGGGGGATCCCAAACAAGCCATGCTCTTTCCTAAGCAAAGCACCTCTATTTTGAATGTGTTTGATACACTGAGCTTCCAAATAAGATTGAAATTGATTTTAAAAAAAGGGAACCCCCGCCCCCCTTTAAGCCAGGTAAAAACTATAACCATCCCTGTCAAGAGCGTTACATGAATCTGTAAATCCTATGACAGACTACCGGTTGAAACCGAGGTTGAAGTCTTCAGTTCGCCTGACTCAGTGCTGGTACACAGTAAAAACTAACACTGAATGGGTGCCCCACAGTGAGTGAGGCATTTCAGCAGGACCGGGGGGATGTTATGCAACAAAAACAGTTATAGCCCTTGTCTGCCTGGAGTTCACAATCTAATGGAAGGATGATCATTACATCAAATATTAAAGAGAGCTACCATGCAGTAAGCCCATTCTAGACATCAGCTGCCGTTCTAATATCAACTCATTTACTCTCCACCACACCTTTAAGAATGAGGTACAGTGATCACTCCCCTTTTACAGAGGAGCCACTGAGGCACAGAGTTGGCAAGGTTGCTAAGTGGCCAAGTTTGGTTTGAAGCCAACGGTATGGCTTGAGTGCCCATGGCTCAACCACTCAACCCTACCTCCTCTCCCAAACACTGTAAGAACCCAAATGTCAAATGCACCTAGGGCAAGTCCTCGACAGAAAGGCATGGGGTGTGAAAAGAATGTATAATTAGAGGATCTGACCAAGGCAGGGAGAACACCACTGAGGAATTAATGCAGGAGCTGAGAGCGGAAAGCAGGGTAGTGAAGAGAGGAGGGAAGAGCATCGAGGTAGGAGCAAAAGCAAGAGATCCGCCAGGATAAAGGGCTTGGAGAGCAGGAGGACTAGAATTCAGCCCATCAGGACAGAGAACATAGGAGGGTGGCAAACAGGAGGTTATGGCCCCAGGCGGACAAGGAAAGACAGGAAGGTGCCAACCATGCTGGACCGGGCTAAGACAGCTGGGGAGCCACTGAGGGCATGCTGCAGGGAGATCACTGGGCTAATACTTGTGAGTCCAAAAGACTTTTCTGGCTGTATCTACACAGTCATGGCACAGTCCTCCCAATAGGCAGGCCGACACAAAACCAACCCTGCTCTGTATCACTCCATGTATTCCTGGTCATATTGTCACAGCCTGATGTGCACTGACCACCTCTGTGCTGTGCCACACTGAGGGAGCAGCTGCTCCAGCTAATTTCTACCCAACATTCACCACCTGGAGGCAATGCATTGGCTCCTCAGGCTTTAGCATGGCAAGGGAACTTCACAAATAAGAAAGTTTAAAAATGATGTTACTCTCTTCAAAATCTTTTCTTCATTTGTAGGTGGCAGAAGGCAACAGATATATCACATCATTGAGTACCATGGGACATGTGTTCACACTTTAAAGTACTTAGGTGTTATTTCATGTAAATGTTGAGAAGGAAAAAAAAATCCTGTTTTTCTTGTCTCTTGGGAATCAGCTTTGGTTTTCTGAAGAAATAGTTCACAAATCTAAGGAAAATGATATATCTATACTTATTTCCCTAAAGAGAACATAATTTTTCTTCTTTTGGTTGATAAGGATTTAATTGCATTTAGAAGGATTTAATCACATAAGGCTAACCAATGAAACACTAACTGTGGGCAGAACTCTGTTTCAGTTGGCCCTATTGGCCCTAAAATGTCATTGATAGTGACTAAATATACACATTACTCCTCTCCCCCGCCATCCTTTCTCCTCCTTCCATTTCTCCTTCTCAGAACAGAGAAATAAAACGTCTAGGAAACCCATCATTTACTGGGGAAAGGAAGGGGACGTGTAACATTTCAAACTGTAATAAGGCATGAACTTGCCAAGCTGTCCATGTGGGAGGTTATAGCATGCCCAGAGAAGTTGCCCAGAAAATAGACATGGTTTCCAATCAAAAAAACTTAGACCAGTTGAAACTCTGGCTTTGGGCAATTTACTTAACTTCTCTGGGCATCAGTGTTAACTTATGTAAAATGGAGACAATCACAATATGTACCTTACCCTGTTGTGGTAAGATTAAATAATTGGCACAGGGCCTGACACAATAAAGGTTAATGATAGCAGCTGTTAATTATTATCCACGAATCAGTTTAACTTTAAGAAAATAACAACTACTTTGGCCATTCTAGCAAGTGTGTGGCAAAGAGGGATAACAGAAGCTCCTTTTGTGGAAGAACATGTAATTTGCCCTTTATTTGCACAGTTTGGAATCATCATCATAACATCCTAATATGCCTTGAAATCCTGTGAAAAAACAGAAGTAAACAAGTAAAACCACCATAGCAACACTATGGCAGAACTGAGTTCACTAAAAGATCTTGTCTCTTGCTCAAAAGGCTTGACTCAAGGAAAAGAACTAGGTATTTCTAGGTTCCCCTGCATTCATTTTTTTAAAAAATTGTTGTGGGTACATATAAGATATGTTGTAGGTACATTTATGGGGTACAAGGGATATTTTGATGCAGGAATACAATACATAATAATCACGTAGGGTAAATGGGATATACATCATCTCAAGCATTTATCCTTTGTGTTACAAACAATCCTATCATATTTTTAAGCTATTTTAAAATGTACAACAAATTACTGTTGACTGTAGTCACCCTGTTATGCTATCAAATACTAGATCTTATACATCATATGTAACAACATCTGTGTATGCATTAACCATCTCCCCCTCCCCAACTACCCTTCCCAGCTTCTGGTAACAATCCTTCTACTCTCTCTTTCCGTGAGCTCAGTTGTTTTAAATTTTTAGTTCTCACAAAGAAGTGAGAACATGTGATGTTTGTCTTTCTGTGCCTGGCTTATTTCACTTAACACAATGACCTCCAGTTCCATCCAGGTTGTTGCAAATGACAAGATATCATTCTTTTTTATAGCTGAATAGTACTCCATTGTGTATATGTATCATATTTTCTTTATCCATTCCTCTGTTAGGGACACTTAGGTTGCTTCCAAATCTTGGCTAGTGTGAACAATGCTGCAATAAACACGGGGGTACAGATAGCTCTTCAATACACTGATTTCCTTTCTTTTGGGTATATACCTAGCAGCGAGTTTGCTGGATCATATGGTAGCTCTTTAGTCTTTTGAGTAACCTCCAAACTGTCCTCCACAGTGGTTGTACTAATTTACATTCCCACCAACAATGTATGAGAGTTCACTTTTCTCAACGTCCTCTCCAGCACTTGTTATTGCCTGTCTTTTGCATATCTTTTCATTATTTTGTGTCCTCTTCAATAAGCCATTTTAACTGGGATATTACTGTAGTTTTGATTTGCATTTCTCTGATGATCAGTTATGTTGAGAACCTTTTCATATATTTGCCATTTGTATGTTTCTTTTGAGAAATGTCTATCCAGATCTCTGCTCATTTTTTAATCAGATTATTAGATTTTTTTTCCTATGGAATTGTTTGAGCTCCTTATATATTTTGGTTATTAACCCCTTGTCAGATGAATAGTTTGCAAATATTTTCTCCCATTCTGTGAGTTGTCTCTTCAAATTGCTTTCAAATTTGCTCTTCAAATTTGTTTACTTTGCTATGCAGAAGCTTTTTAACTTAAGCTATCCCATTTGTCCATTTTTGCTTTGGTTAACTGTGTTTGTAGGGTATTACTCAAGAAATCTTTGCCAAGACCAATGTCCTGGAGAGTTCCCCCAGTGTCTTCTTGTAGAAGTTTCATAGTTTGAGGTCTTATATTTAAGTCTTTAATCCATTTTGATTTGATTTTTGTATATGGCAAGAGATAGGGGTCTAGTTTTATTCTTCTGCATATAGATATTCAGTTTTCCCAGCACCACTTACTGAAGAGATTGTGTTTTCCTCAATGCATATTCTTGGCAACTTTGTTGAAAATGAGTTTGCTGTAGATGTATGGATTTATTTCTGGGTCCTCTATAGTGTTCCATTGGTCTATGTGTCTGTTTTTATGCCAGTACCATGCTGTTTTGGTTACTATATCTCTGTAGTATAATTTGAAGTCAGATAATGTGATTCCTCCAGTACTTTTTGCTCAGGATAGCTTTAGCTATTCTGGGTCTTTTGTGGTATTATGTAAATGCTAAGATTATTTTTTTCTATTTTCATGAAGAATGTCATTGGTATTTTTATATGGATTGCATTGAATCTGCAGATTGCTTTGGATAGAATGGGCATTTTAACAGTATTGATTCTTCCAAACCATGAACATGGAATATCTTTCCATTTATCTTGTGTCCTCTTCAATTTTTTACATCAATGTTTTATAGATTTCACTGTGGACATCTTTCACTTCTCTGGTTAAGTTTATTCCTAGGTAGTTGATTTGTAGTTATTGTAAATGGAATTACTTTCTTGAATTATTTTTCAGATTGTCCACTGTTGGCATATAAAAATGCTACTGATTTTTGTATGTTGATTTTTATATCTTGCAACTGTACTCAATTTGTTTATCAGTTCTAATAGTTTTTTGGTAGAGTCTTTAGATTTTTCCAAATATAAGATCGTATCATCTGCAAACAAGGATAATTTGACATCCAACTTGGATACCCTTTATATCTTTCTCTTGTCTGATTTCTCTAGCTATGACTTCCAGTACTATGTTGAATAACAGTGGTGAAAGTGAGCATGTTTGTCTCATTTCAGATTGTAGGGAGAAAACCTTCAGGTGTTTCCCCTTCACTATATTAGCTGTGGGTCTGTCATATATGGCTTTTATTGTGTCAAGGTATGTTCCTTCTATACACAGTTTCTGTGGGTTTTTAATCATGAAAGGATGTTGAATTTTATGAAATGCTTTTTCAGCAAAAATTGAAATAATCATATCGTTTTTGTCCTTGTGTTCATATGATGTATCATTGATTGATTTGCATATGTTGAACCATCCTTGCGTAACTGGAATAAATCCCGCTTGGTCATGATAAATGCTTTTTTTAATGTGTTGCTGAATTCAGTTTGTTAGTATTTTGTTGAGGATTTTTGCATCTATATTCATCAGGGTTACTTGCCTGCAGTTTTTTTTTTTTTTTTTTAATGTGCCTTTGTCTGGTTTTTGTATCAGGGTGATACTAGCCTCCTAGAATGAATCTGCAAGTATTCCTTCCTCATCAGTTTTATGAAACAGTTTGAGTAGCATTGGTATTAGTGGTTCTTTACGCATTTGCTAAAATTCAGCAGTTAAGCCATCAAATCTAGCGCTTTTCTTTGCTGAGCGACTTCATTATGGCATTGATCTCATTACTTCGTCTGTTCAGGTTTTGCATTTCTTAGTGGTTCAATCTTGGTAGGTTGTGTGTGTCTAGAAACATATCCATTTCTTCTAGGTTTTCCAATTTATTGGTATATAGTAGCTCACAGTATCTTCTAATGATCTTTGAATTTCTATGATATCAATTGTAATGTCTCCTTTTTCATCTCTAATTTTATTTGGGTCTTCTCTTTTTTTCTGAAGATTTGTCAATTTGATTTCTTTTTTCAAAAAAACAACTTTTTGTTTCATTTACCTTTTGTATTTTTTCATTTCAATTTCATTTATTTCTGCTCTGATCTTTATTTTTCCTTCTACTAATTTTGGGTCTGGTTTTCACTTGCTTTTCTAGTTGTTTAAAATGTATCATTAGTTTTTCTACTTTTTGATGTAGGCAATTACTACTATAAACTTTCCTCTGAATACTGCTTTCACCATATCTCATAGGTTTTGATACATTGCGTTTCCATTTTCATTTGTTTCAATATATTTTTAAAATTTTCTTAATTTTTTCATTGACCCACTGGTCATTCAGAAGCATATTGTTTAATTTCCATGTGTTTGTATAATTTCCAAAATTTCAGCTGTTATTGATTTCTAATTTTATTCCATGGTGGTCAGAGAAGATATTTGACATAATTTTTAAAAAAATGTTTTAAGATTTGTTTTGTGGCCTGAAATATGGTCTTTCCTCGAGAATGATCCATGAGCTGAAGAATGTGTACTCTGCAGCCATTGGATAAAATGTTCTGTAAATGTCTATTAGGTCCATTTGGTCTGTACTGCAGATTAAGTAAGATGTTTGCTGACTTTCTGTCTGGATGATATTTCCAATGCTGACAGTGGGTGAAGTCTCCAGCTATTATTGTATTGGGGTCTTATCTAATAATAACTTTACATAACATATATGAGTGCTCCAGTGTTGGGTGCATATATATTTACAATTGTTATATCTCTTGCTGAATTGACCCCTTTGTCATATAATGACCTTCTTTGTCTCTTACCATAGTTTTTGTCTTGAAGGCTATTTTGTCTGATATAAGCATAGCTCCTCCTGCTCTTTTTGGTTTCTATTTTCATGCAACATCTTCTTCCATATCTCTTTATTTTTAGTCTATGTGTGTCTTTATATTATAGGCGAAGTGTGTTCTTGCAGGCAACAGATCATTGCAGCTAGTTTTATTTATCCATTCAGCCACTCTACATCTTTCGATTAGAGTTTAGTCCATTTACATTCAATGTTATTATTGATGAATAGGATTTACTCCTGCTATTTTGTTATTTGTTTTCTGGTTGTTTTGTAGTCTTCTCTTTCTTCTTTCATTCCTTCCTGTCTTCCTTTTAATGAAGGTGATTTTCTCAAGTGATATGTTTTTATTGCTTGCTTTTTTATTTTTTCTAGATCTGTTTTAAGTTTTTGCTTTGAGTGTACTGTGAGGCTTGCAAATAACATCTTGTAACCCATTATATTAAACAGATGACAACACTGATTGCATAAACAATTAAACTAATAAAAACACTATACTTTTCATACCCCTGCTTTTTAACTTTTTGTTGTTTCTGTTTATATCATACTATCTATGTCTTGAAAAGTTGTGGTTATTATTTTTGATAGATTCATTGTTTAGTCTTTCCACTCAAGATATGAGTAGTTTACATACTACAATAGTGTTATGATATTCTTTATTTTTCTGTGTACTTACTATTACCAGTAAGTTTTCTACTTTCAGATAGTTTTTTATTACTCATTAACATCCTTTTCTTTCAGATTGAAGAAAGAATCCTTTAGCATTTCTTGCAGGATAGTTCTGGTGTTTTGTTTGTCTGGGAAAGTCTTTATTTCTCCTAAATATACATGTTTGAAGGATATTTTCACTGGATATACTATTGTAGGTTAGAAGATTTTTTTTCCTTGAGTACTTTAAATATGTAATATCACTCTCTCCTGGCTTGTAAGATTTCCACTGAAACATCTGCTGCCATACATTTTGGAGATCTTTGTTATTTCTTTTCTCTTGCTGCTTTTAGGATCCTTTCTTTATCTTTGACCTTTGGGAGTTCATTAAATGCCATGAGATAGTCTTATTTGGGTTAAATCTGCTTAGTGTTCTATTACCTTCCTGTACTTAAATATTGATATCTTTCTCTAGGTTTTGGAAGTTTTCTGTTATCCCTTTGAATTAACTTTTCTCTCTCTCTCTCTGCCTCCTCTTTAAGGCCAATAACTCTTAGATTGCCCTTTTGAGGCTATTTTGTAGATTCTGCAGGCATGCTTCATTGTTTTGTATTCTTTTCTCTTTTGTCTCCTCTGACTGTGTATTTTCAAACAGCTTGTCTTCAAGCTCACTAATTCTTTGTTTTGCTTATTTCTGCTATTAACAGACTCTGATGCATTCTTCAGTAGGCCAGCTGCATTTTTCAGCTCCAGAATCTCTGCTTGATTCTTTATATCTCCCTCTCTTCATTAGATTTGTCTAATACAACTCTGAACTCCTTCTCTGTGTTATCTTGGATTCCACTGAGCTTCTTCAAAACAGCTATTTTGAATTCCCTTTCTGAAAGCTCACATATCTCTCTCTCTCTCCAGGATTGGCTACAGGTGACTTAGTTTGGTGAGGTCATGTTTTTCTGGAAGGTCTTGATGCTTTGGGTGTTTGTCAGTGTCTGGGTTTTGAAGAGTTAGGTATTCACTGTAGTCTTTTCAGTCTGGGCTTGTTTCTGCCTATCCTTGGGAAGGCTTTCCAGGTATTTGAAGGGACATGGGTGTAGTCATCTAAGTTTTTGGTCACTTTACCCGTTTCTACTTTAGGGGTGCCCCAAGCCCAATAACACTGTGGCTATTGCAGGCTTGTACAGATACCACCGTGGTGGTCTTGGGTAACTTCCAGAAGAATTCCCTGGATTACCAGGCAGAGACTCTTGTTCTCATCCCTTACTTCCCTCCAAACAGATGAAATCTGTCTCTGTCTCTCTGTCTCTCTCCCCTCTCCTCTCTCTTTCTTTCTCTCTCTCTCTCTCTCTCTCCAGAGCTGCCTGAAGCTGTGGGAGGGGTGACACAAGCACTCCTGTGGCCACCGCCACTGGGACTATATTGGGTCAGAAATGAAGCCAGCCTAACACTGGGTCTCACCCAAGGCCTACAACAATTACTGCCTGGCTACCACCTATGTTAACTCAAGTCCCAAGGGTTCTGCAATAAGTATATGGGAAATCCTGCCAGGCTTGTGTCCTTCCCTTCAGGGCAGTAAGTTCTCTCTGGCTCTGGTCAGGTCCAGAGATGTTTTCTGGGAGTCACGGCCTGGAGTTGGGAAATTTAGAAATCTACTTGGTGCTCTATTCTACCGCAGCTAAGCTGGCACCCAAACCATAAGACAAAGTCCTTTCTGCCCTTCCCTCTCCTTTCCTCAAGCAGAGGAATCTCTCTGACCACCACTGCTCCGGGCACATGGAGAGTATTGCCTGGCTACCAATGACATTCACTCGAGGTCCAAGGGCTCTTCAGTGAGCTTGTGGTGAATGCTGCCAGTCCTGAGTCTCTCTCCTCAGGGAAGTTGTCTTTCCTCTGGCCCAGGACAGGTCCAGGAATGTCATTCAGGAGCCAAATCCTGAAATCAGAGATCCTAGGAGCCCACTTGATCCTCTGCCATACTGTGGCCAAACTGGTACCCAAGCGGCAAGATAAAGTCCTCTTTACTTTTCCCTCTCTTTTCCTCAAGCAGAAGGGATCTCTCCCTGTAGCCACCACAGCTGGGAATGTGCTGTTCACAACTGAAGCCAGCAGGGCTCTGAGTCTCACTCAAGGCCTGCAGCAAGTACTGCTTGGCTATCACTGCTGATTATTCAGGGCCCAGTGCTCTTCGGTTAGCAGGTGATGCACTCTGCAAGAACTGAGTCCCTCCCTTCATTCAAGGCAGCAGGTTCTCTTCCAGCTCAGGGTATGTTTAGAAACGCTGTCTGGAAGCCAAGGCCTAGAACAGAGGCCTCAGGACTCTGCCTGGTGCCCTATGCTACTATGGCTGAACTAGTATCCAAGTTGCAAAACAATATCCTCTTTACTCTCTCCTCTCCTCTTCTGAAACAAAGGGAAGAAGGAGCTGCCTGGAGCTGTGAGCTGTGTTGCCTAGAGTTAGTGGGGAGCAGCTCAAGCACTCCCTTCACCAGCTGATATCTTCTTAGGTCATGTGTACCCCAGGTCCACTGGTTCTGAGCTCAGTACAGGACCAGGACTTTCCTTGCAGTCCTTGTGGCCTAGACTGCCTTTCAAGTTTATTTAGAACTTCAGAGCACTTTAGCCTGTGGTGGTGGAGCTTGCCGGAACTCAGGTTCTGACCATTGGCATGGACAATTTGCCTCTGGCTAGGGCTGGTCTAAATGCTCCCTCCTTGGGAACCTGCTGAGTTCTTCCTGGTGTTGCTTTCTACTGTGACAGGGCAACACTGAGTTACAATACAAAGTCCCACAATCACTGCACTCTCCTTCCCCCAAGCACAAAGATTCTTTCTCCACGTCTCATGGACTGTGCAGGAGAATGGCGGAATGGTGACATCAACCATTCAAGACTGTCTTTTCTACCCTCTTCAGTGCCTCTTTCCTTAATATACTGTTAAAACCAGATACTGCAATCACCCACCTGGTCTTTTGTTCTTATGAAGGTACTTTTTTGTATGTACAGTTGTTCAATTTGGTGTTTCTGCCGGGGAACAACCACTGCAGGCTTCAATTTGGCCATCTTGCTCTGTCTTCCCCCTGCCACCCCACCCCTCTCACATTCTTGAAATGAGTAAAAAGCCTTCACGCTAAGCATGGCCATGGAATCTTCCCATGTTGAACTGTAAGATGAACAGAGTCATATTTCAAATAAAGAGATTAGGCTGACATGAATGATCATATTTTTAATAACTTATTAACCTAATTGCATGCCACAATTACATAGTGAGTTTTCATCTTTTAAATCAATTTTGGGGTGAGGGATGAAATACTACCTATTGGGTACAATGTTCACTATTCAAGTGATGGGTACACTTAAAGCCCAGACATCACCACTACACAATATATCCACGTAACGTAACTGCACTAGTAGCTCTCAGTCTACTTTTTTGTTAAAAAAAAAAAAGAGCAAAAACAACAGCAAGAGGAAAGATATATATTTAAGAAAAAAGCATTTCAATGAGGCAAAAACAACTGGTTCATCCTTAGGTCCTTAGGCCCATTTATTACTTCGAACTGTATGCCCACTTTTTTATTTTATAAAGGTTTGCATGTCTTCAAACTACATGCCCACCTTCATTTTGCAAAGTATTGTACAATGCTGTATTTTTTTTTTTTTTTTTGAGACGAAGTCTTGCTTTGTTGCCCAGGCTGGAGTGCAGTGGCGTGATCTCGGCTCACTGCAAGCTCCACTTCCCAGGTTCACGCCATTCTCCTGCCTCAGCCTACCGAGTAGCTGGGACTACAGGCACCTGCCACCTCGCCGGGCTAATTTTTTTGTGTTTGTAGTAGAGACAGGGTTTCATCATGTTAGCCAGGATGGTCTCGATCTCCTGACCTCATGATCCGCCCGTCTCGGCCTCCCAAAGGGCTGGGATTACAGGCATGAGCCATGTACAATGCTGTTTTAAAAGCAGCGCTCGTCTTTGCTGCCTTTCAACTTTACATGCTTTGGTTTCTCATAGAGAAAATAAAAATTGTTTTTAATCCTTAAAGAACTTCTGACAGGAGAGAAAAATGACTTGTGTGTCCCAAAGCCCCCAATCCCAAAGACATCTAAGCAAAACCAAGTTGGGGGTGGGGGTGGAGAATTTAAATAGCAGTAATTATCGTATCTCAATTTGCAAGAAAAACAAATGCCTCAAATACCATTATTCATTTAAGTTTTCTGACAACCTGACATTTATCTCCTTTAGTGCTATATTATAGAAATGTTTCTTATTATATTCATTTTCCAGAGACTGAGAACTTTTAAAACCAATGAAATGCATGTCCCAGAGTTGATCCTTTGCTTTAAAAAAAAGTTTGAAAAAGGAAAAGCTATTATGTTGATTACAAACCGAAGTGAGTTACAGTAAATGATGCAAAGAAATTTTGACAAATAGGTATATGCACTTGAAAGTGGTACTACTCTGCTCTCAAGGTGTTGCTGTTAAGATATGAACCAACGCTGAAAACTCCATATCCACAGATAGCTGGCTTCTTCGATAAAATTCAATTCAAATCAAAGAGTAATTAAAGCACTTAATTTGCATGAGCACTGTTCCAAGATTAACTAAAGGGCTGAGGGGAGCTGGAGGTGGGGAGCTCAATTAAGAACCTATTCAACATATTTCAAGAGAGAGGGACAATCTGAATTTAGGATATGGATGTGGAAATAGAAAGGGGAATGTGAGAGACATTATCAAGAGAGAATAAATACAATGTGAAGAGACAACCTGGGAGAAGGGAGAAAAATATTGCCAGGCTTAAAATACATGACAATGAAAAGGCCATTAACCAATAGGGCTAACTACAAAGGTGGTGCTTTGGTGGCAAAAAATTTTCTTTGGAAATACTGATTTGAGGTACTTGCACATGAAAACTTAACCTCAGCTGGGCGCAGTGGCTCACGCCTGTAATCCTAGCACTTTGGGAGGCAAAGGTTGGTAGATTGCCTCAGCTCAGGAGTTCGAGACCAGCCTGGGCAACACAGTGAAACCCCGTCTCTACTAAAATACAATAAAAATTAGCCAGGCGTGGCAGCATGCACCTGTATAGTCCCAGCTACTCAGGAGGCCGAGGCAGGAGAATTACTTGAACCCGGGAGGAGGAGGTTGCAGTGAGCTGAGATCACGCCATTGCACTCTGGCCTGGGTGACAGAGCGAGACTCCATTTCCAAAAAAAAAAGAAAAAAAGAAAACCTAACCTCACAGAGAATTGTACCTGGAGATGTATGGGGGAAAGACACATTATTTTGGAAACATTTAAAGAACCTCATACTCAGAACTAGAAAAAAAGACATCTTCATAAATTCTGATGCATTTTTCATCCTAATACCAGCAGTGACACAATCAGGACAGGGAATGTGTCTGCTTACCCAGCAATCAAGGAAGATGAAGGAGATGAAGCAGACAGAGGGCAGGGAGGGTCAACCCTGACTGCACCAGCACCAAAGGCTAGAGTTTCTTCTGGTATAGCAAAGCCTAAATAATTTTCTTCATTAAGCTTATTTTTTCATCCATGGGAAAAGGAACATGTGTTCATATTACATTAACTTGAAAAATTCAGAATTAATGAAAAAATAAGCCTCAGAATCTTAAATCAACTGAATATAGCAACAGAGAATAGATGAAGCCCCAAAGGGCTTCTGTCACACTCATATATAATAAAAACACCAGTCATGTTTACAGTTCAATTTTATAGAGCTAAATTGATGAGTAGTTTTGGAGTGTTCTAGAAATTCTACAATATTCATTTTTTATTGCAGTTTTTGAATTTATTAATAATTAGGCAAGAAATCATTAACTACATTTTCAAAACAGTAGAAGTAAAGCTTAGGAGGCTCATTTTCACAAATGTATTATTTTCAACACAATACAATTTTTTTTTTTTTTGAGATGGAGTTTCGCTCTTATCACCCAGGCTGGAGTGCAGTGGCACAATCTCGGCTCACCACAACCTCTGCCTCCCGGGTTCAAGAGATTCTCCTGCCTCAGCCTCCCGAGTAGCTGGGATTACAGGCGCCTGCCACCACACCCAGCTACTTTTGTATTTTTAGTAGAGACGAGGTTTCTCCATGTTGCTCAGGCTGTTCTCAAACTCCTGACCTAACCTGATCTGCCCACCTCAGCCTCTCAGAGTGCTGGGATTACAGGCGTGAGCCACCGCACCTGGCCAACACAATACAATTCCAATTTTTAAATAGTACTACTTAAATCACAAATACAACTGACTGTTATTAATACAATGAACCAGGTTGAGTTATCTGCCATTACTTACTTTAGAACTTAGCTCATGTCAGAAATATACAAAATACTCCTTTGATATAAACAGATAGCTTGGGGGAAAACGAAAAACTCTTATTAGAATTACTACTAGTTGCTGTAGCAACTGTCGAAGTGTTTTACTATGTGCCAGGCACTGGGCCAGAGACTCTTTGTTCATCTCTTTAATCTTCACTACATTTCTATAAAGTAGGTATCTTGAGATGTCCATTGTACTGAAAAGGAGACAAAGCAAAGGTTAGGGGAGTTAAGTAACTCAGTAACTTAAATGTTTTTCTCCCTTAGCTGAAATGATGCATGCCACAGGTTTGAAAAACATTCTTTCCCTATTCAATCATTTATTTAAGTGATAAACATTAATCTCAACATAAACAGAAAATAGATTGAATACTGTGATTATTACTTTGAAACCAAAGCTCCATCTTTAGAGAAACTCATACTGGCAAAGCAAACAAGGACTGATGAATTGGAGGTGCACTTGTGCGCTTAAAACTGCAGCAGCTGATGTAGGCACTGGAGGGGCTACAACCCAGGGACCCAGGTAGTTTGCAGAAATTCACAAGGTGCAGGGTATCAGTTTTGTCATCACTTTGATACCTGTCAACTTCATGGGCCTGGGCCAATCAGCCAACTTGCTCAAACCTCACGTTTCTTTCATGTAAATACAGGTTAAGCACCCCTACACCAAATACCCAATATCTGAAATGCTCCCAAATCTGACACTTCTTGAGTGCTGAGCTGACGCCACAAGTGGAAAATTCCACCCCTGACCTCATGTGATGGGTCATAATCAAAATGCAGTTGCATAACACAGTTTATTAAGAGTCTCCAAGGGGAAAAAGGCCCTTCCAGTCCCCTTCAGCGTATCTTTTCCACTCATGCCCAGATTTCCCTACACAAGCATGCCACAAAGTATTGTGTATTATGTGGGAAATAACACACAGGGAACTTGGCACAAGAACTGGCATACAATTCCCGAAATAGTAGAGCTGTCATCATCATTACTGGTTTTTATAGTAACTGTGACCCCAAAGAGTTAATAGAAGTGAGATAGTAGAAAAACTGATGGCTGTGCAGTCACAGAAATCTTCCAAGTCTACATCTCTCATTGAGGAGATATGCACCATTTGCAAAGTTATTTAACGTACCTGAGCCTCAGTGTCCCTGAGTGTAAAATATAAATAAAAATATTTCCCTGGTATGAGACAGAAAAATAGAGCTAATGTGTCAAAAGTACCACATGGAGAGACTGGAACACAGGAAGTTCCTATTACTGTTAGTATGAAGGCGCTTTAAGAACTCAAACTAGGCAACAGGTACAGGCCACAGGGGGAATAAACGCAAACGTCCAGTTAAAACCAAATCCAGACATAAGAGAAACTTTATTTGAAAAAGTAACTGCTATAAGGGGAGTGAGACTACTGCAATAGGGAGAGCTCTGGTCATGAGATGTGCAAGTAGCTCAACGATTGGGCAGAAAGGAATTTTCTTTTATAGGGAGGGGTAAGCAAGGCTAGAAAGATCAGCTGGGAGCACTGACTAGGGAAAGCTTCTCCTGAAGGTCAGCTGGTTCTCAGGAGGGGTATTCAAGGAGAGGCTGCTCTGCATCCCAATGCTGAAGGCATGGTCAAAGTTCAAGGGCCTAGGGAGCGAGACACACCTGACTGAAGTTTGGTTGATTATTTGGGCACTGGGTATAAACAAATCAGCTGACCATTTATAAGGCGCAGAACGGGAATGTGAAAACTCAGCTTCTGGCCTTGTCGGAGGTACTTAAGTGAGCATCATTTGGTCTCGTCCTGGACACCCGGGGAAGGATTTTTTTTTTTTTTAAGAAGCCTTTTCCAGAAGACAAAGGGTGGGGGATTTCTTCACCTAGTGCTATTTTCCAAAATACTTGGCTCAGGTAAAGCTCAACATTACCATAAACAGAACAAACTATATATATATATATGTATGGTTTGTATATGTTTAAGTACGTATATACAGTTTCGTTTACATGCATATGCTGAATATAGTTCAGTACTTTTAAGCAAAGTATTATAATATCATATTCAAACAATCACCACCTTTTTTTCCTACAAAAATAAGCAATGAATTAAAAGCAAGTCTGTCATTAACCCACGGTGAGGAAGGAGGAACAATTTTAACTACCTGAGGTCTTCAAAATGGATTTTTTTTTTTCAGTTCTTATTCTAATGCAATTTCCTGGTCAGAATCTTTTTATACATAACCTTGAATATAACAAAAACCAGGAAAATGGCTTGTACACAAAATGAAGGCTACTAAGAGCATGAGAAAATATTTCATTCTTTTCCTTTGATCATCTACTTTTCTTTTGAGAGAGATGCAGAGAGAGGATTTGAGTGTTTATGCCTGCCTTTGGATTTCTTTTGCTGGGTTTTCTATTAAGTCTTCTCTGACATCATTACTAGCTTATGCATACTGAATGTGTACTCTCTTGCCAGGCATCACACTAACCACACTATGTAATAATTTCTATAGATCTCCACACAGCTCAGTGAGAACAGTGCTACTGTTAAAAAGTTTCATATTAATGTCTGCATTTTAGATCTACTGCAAATAATCACATATTATTTTTCTGGTAGATGAATTTCATGCCAAAAGATTAACTTAACCTTTTATATACATATGTAAACAATCGGTATAGGCATGTAGATATAAACATGTATAGAACACAAACTTGCATTTGTCTCAGGAATCAGGTAGAGACCATAGTAAACATTTTTATCTTGGAAGGAGGGCAGAGAGCTCATCATCATCAATTCAGAACCTATAATGATTTTACCCAAACTTCTCTAATATGATAGGGAGCAACACTTTTTCACCCTGTTCATAGTACGAATGAAAGGTGAATTATCTTGGTCTAGTTTGAGTTCTGCTTGCTCACCCCTGGAAGGAGAAAGTGCATACCATAGAGAAGCGTGGAGATTCTTTGCTGGGTAATAGGAAATTGGTCTTCACAGCAGAAAATAATAATTGCAACAAAAGTACTAACAAAAATAATAACAACAATTAGAGCAACAATAAAAACTACAGCATTGACATACTGATTGCTCATAATATGCCAGGCACTGGATAAGCGCCCTATTTCACTACCAAACATAATTCTTCCAATAATCAGCAGTAACCTTATGCATCCCACTTACAGATGAAGAAATGAGACAAAGGAAGTTCACACAGCTACCAAAATTGGGAACCAGGAATTAACCTCAGGCAGTGTGACTGCACAGCCAGGGCCCTTCCAAACAATTGGTTAACTAACCTGGGTCTTTTGCTGGCCAATGTATCGGGGAATAATCCTAGCCAACAAATTCAAGGGAAACGGAATCAAGCAAATATGAATGAACTTCATTTACTGAAAACAAAGTAGGCTTTGATAGGACTGTGTTACCATCTCTAGACCTAACTATGATTATGTCATTTCTTAGTGCCTCTTGCGGCAAAGAAAGTGCACTTTACATAAAAAAACAATAGAATGCATCTGGCAGAAGTATGAGAAGAGTAACGATCATGGTGATGGTGGTGATGATGATGATGATGACAGCTTCAAGAGCAGCAGGGTAAGGATGCCACTAAAATCACCACCATTTATGTGCCAGGCATTATGATACAGTCATTACATATAACCTTTTTCTCCCACTATATTGCATGCTGCTTCACTTACCTTGTAAAACATTTTAGACATAAAAGGTGCTCCATTTTTTTGCACAAATGAACAAATACATGAAATAAAAGTATGTTGAAGGCACAGAAAAAGTATTCATAAAAGACAAACTCAAAATTCCCAATGACACAGAGAGTATAATCACACCACATATCAAATCCAAGCCACATAGCACAGAGTGTGCTATTGAAATGAAACGCAATATAACTATTGCTCTGGGAATTACAGATGGGATCCAGTAAAAGACACTGTATTAATTATATTGTTTTCCATGGAACTTTTCTAAGGTTGCCCAGGACAGCAACACTGTAGAACATTCATGATGAAACTGTCAAAGAGGACTAGACTTGAGGGGCCTTAGGGAGAAAAGAGATTTGAAAATAATGTACTGCTTGCCCATGGTTCAGACGTGCCTTTCTCTGCAAGTATGATCACATTATTGATTCTCAAAGGAAGAAAGAAAATATGACTTTGTCCCTTAACTGACATCAAAGTTACAGTGTTATGCAGTGATGCCCAAAAGCATTTGCAAATATTCAGAAACAAAGTTTTGAGTGTCCTAGGAGATGACTATCATACCAATTGATCCAAAACACAATGGTCAAGAGGCATGGAAAACCTATGGTTGGGGAGGGAGAGGAAGGGTCATAAATATATACAGTCATGCACCACGTAATGACATTTTAGTCAATTTACTGGATATATGATGGTGGTCCTATAAGATTATAATGTATCTGGAAAATTCCTATTGCTTAGTGACATCCTAGCTGTCTTAATGACATAGCACAAGACATTACTTATGTGTTTGCAGTGATGCTGGTATAAATGAACCTGTGCTGCCAGTCATATAAAAGTATTGCATATTAGGTACAGCAGGGGTCCCCAACCCCCTGGCTGCAGATCAGTGCCCATCTGTGGCCTGTTAGTACAGTGGGAGGTGAGCAGTGGGTGAGTGAGCATTACTGCCTGAGCTCTACCTCCTGTCAGATCAGAGTCGGTATTAGATTCTGATAGAAGCATGAACCCTATTGTGAATTGCACATGCGAGGGATCTAGGTTGCATGCTCCTTATGAGAATCTAACTAATGCCTGAATATCTGAGGTAAAACAGTTTCATTCCAAAACTGTCCATCCCCCATGACCCCTGTCTGTTGAATAATTGTCTTCCATGAAACCAGTCCCTGGTGCCAAAAAGGTTGGGGGCTACTGACGTAAAGTACATAATACTTGATAATGATAATACGTGGCTATACTGGTTGATGTTGTATTAGTCCATTTTCACAATGCAATAAAGATATTACCAGAGACTGGGTACTTTATGAAGAGAAGAGGCTTAATTGACTCACAGTTCCACATGGTTGGGGAGGCCTCAGGAAACTTACAATCACGGCAGAAGGCAAAGAGAAAGCAAGGTATGTCTCCCACAGTGGCAGGAGAGAAAGAGAGAGAAAACCAGCAGGGGAGAGTCCGGAGACTTATCAAATAACCACATCTCATGAGAACTCCCTCACTATCATGAGAACAGCATGGGGGAAACTGATCCAATCACCTCTCTCCAGGTCTCTCCCTCAACATCTGGGGATTACAATTCAAGAGGAGATTTGAATGGCAAGACAGCCAAACCAAATCATTCCAGTGCTGGTCCCTCTCAAATCTCATGTCCTTTGCACATTTCAAAAGGCAATCATGCCTTCCCAACAGTTCCCCAAAGTCTTAACTCATTCTAGCATTAACACAAAAGTTCACATCCAAAATCTCATCTAAGACAAGGCAAGTCCCTTCCACTTAGGAACCTGTAAACTCAAAAACAAGTTAGTTACTTACAAGATACAATGGGGATATACAGGCATTGGGTAAATGTTCCCATTACAAATGAGAGAAATTGGCCAAAACTAAGGGGACACAGGTCCCATGCAAATCCGAAACCCAGTGAGGCAGTCATTAAATCTTAAAGCTCCAAAATGATCTCCTCTGACTCCATGGATCAAATCCAGGGCATGCTCATGCAGGAAGAGGGATCCCAGGGCCTTGGGCAGCTCTACCTCTCTGACTCTGCAGGGTACACCCCTCTCCCCCAACTCCCCAACGGCTGCTTTCACAGCTGTCGTTGAGTGTCTTTGGCTTTTCCAGGTGCACAGTGCAAGCTGTTGGTGGATCTACCATTCTGGGGTCTAGAGGATGGTGGCCCTCTTCTCACAGCTCCACTAGGCAGTGCCCCAGTGGGGACTCTGTGTGGGGACTCTGTTTGGGGGTGCCAACCCCACATTTCCCCTTTGTACTGCCCTAGCAGAGGTTTTCCATGAGGGCTCTGCCCCTGCAGTAGAATTCCGCCTGGACATCCAGGCATTTCCATACATCCTTTTATATCTAGGTGGAAATTCCCAAAGAGTTCCACAAGACTAGAGAAAAAAGAATGAAGAGGAGTGAACAAAACCTCCAAGAAATATGGGACTTCATAAAAAGACTGAATCTACAACTGATTGGAGTACCTGAAGGGGATGGGAAGAACGGAAACAAGCTGGAAAACACACTTCAGGATATTATCCAGGAGAGCTTCCCCAACCTAGCAAGACAGACCAACATGCAAATTCAGAAAATTCAGAGAACACCACTAAGATACTCCAGAAGAAGAGCAACCCCAAGACACATAATCATCAGATTCTCCAAGGTTGAAATGAAGGAAAGAATGTTAAGGGCAGCCAGAGAGAAAGGCCAGGTCACCAACAAAGGGAATCCCATGAGACTAACAGTGGACCTCTCAGCAGAAACTCTACATGCCAGAAGAGACTGGGGGCCAATATTCAGCATTCTTAAAGAGAAGAATTTTCAACCCAGAATTTCATATCCAGCCAAACTAAACTTCATAAGCATAAGAGAAATAAAATCCTTTCCAGACAAGCAAATGCTGAGGGATTTCATCACCACCAGGCCTGCCTTGCATGAGATTCTGAAAGAAGCACTAAATAAGGAAAGGAGAAACAAGTACCAGCTGCTGCAAAAACACACCAAAATATAAAGAACAATGGCACTATGAAGAAATTGCATCAAATAGTATGCAAAATAACTAGATAGCATCATCATGACAGGATCAAATTCACACATAACAATACGAACCTTAAATGTAAATGGGTTAAATGCGCCAATTAAAAGACACAGACTGGCAAATTGGATAAAGAGTCAAGACCCATCAGTGTGCTGTGTTCAGGAGACCCATCTCACACACAAAGACACAAATAGACTCAAAATAAAGGAATGGAGGAAAATTTACCAAGCAAATAGAAAGCAAAAGAAAGCAGAGCTTGCAGTCCTAGTCTCTGACAAAACAAACTTTAAACCAACAAAGATCAAAAAAGACAAAGAAGGTTATTACATAATGGTAAAGGGAACAATTGAACAAGGAGAGCTAAGTATTCTAAATATGTATGCAACCAATACAGAAGCACTGAGATTCATAAAACAAGTTCTTACAGACCTACAAAGAGACTTAGACTCCCACACAATAATAGTGGGAGACTTTAACACCATACTGTTAATATTAGATCAACAAGACAGAAAATTAATGAGGATATTCAGGACATAAACTCAGCTCTGGAGGGCTCTGGATCAAGCGGACCTAATAGACAGCTACAGAACTCCCTACCCCAACGCAACAGAATACACATTCTTCTCAGTTCCACGTGGCATTATTCTAAAATCGACCACATAATTTGAAGTAAAACACTCCTCAGCAAATGCAAAAGAACTGAAATCATAACAGTCTCTAGGACCACAGTGCAATCAAATTAGAACTCATGATTAAGAAACTCACTCAAAACCACACAATTACATGGAAATTGAACAACATGATCCTGAGTGAATCCTGGGTAAATAATGGAATTAAGGCGGAAATCAAGAAGTTCTTTGAAACCAATGAGAACAAAGAGACAACATATCAGAATCTCCGGGACACAGAGTGTCCCAGTGTTAAGAGGAAAATTTGTAGCACTAAATGCTCACATCAGAAAGCTAGAAAGATCTCAAATCAACACCCTAACATCACAATTAAAAGAGCTAGAGAGGCAAGAGAAAAAAATCCAAAAGCCAGCAGAAGACAAGAAATAACTAAGATCAGAGCAGAACTGAAGGAGATAGAGACACAAAAAACCCTCCAAAAATAAAATAAATGAAGACAAGAGCTGGTTTTCTTGAAAAAAATAAAAAATAGACAGCAAGCTAGATTAATAAAGAAGAAAAGAGAGAAGAATCAAATACACACAATAAAAAAATGATAATAGGGATATCACCACTGACACCACAGAAATACAAACTACCATAAGTGAATACTATAAACACCTCTATGCAAACAAACTAGAAAATCTAGAAGAAATGGATAAATTCTGGGACACATACCCCCTCCCAAGACTAAACCAGGAAGGAGTTGAATCCTTGAACAGACCAATAATAAGTTCTGAAATTGAGGCAGTAATTAACAGTCTACTGACCAAAAAAAGCCCAAGGCCACATGGATTCACAGCCAAATTCTACCAGAGGTACAAAGAGGAACTGGTGTCATTCCTTCTGAAACTATTCCAAACAGTTGAAAAGCAGGGACTCCTCCCTAAGTCATTTTATGAAGCCAGCATCACCCTGATGCCAAAACCAGGAGGAGACACAGTGAAAAAAGAAACTGTAGGCCAATATCCCTGATGAGCATCAATGCGAAAATCCTCTGTAAAATACTGGCAAACCAAATCTAGCAGCACATCAAAAAACTTATCCACCACGATCAAGTCAGCTTCATTCCTGGGATTCAATGGTGGTTCAACATACGCAACTCAATAAACGTAATCTATCACATAAACAGAACCAAAGACAAAAACCACATGATTATCTCAATAGATGCAGAAAAAGCCTTTGATAATATTCAACATCCCTTCGTGTTAAAAACTGTCAATAAAGTAGGTTTTGATGGGACATATCTCAAAATAATAAGAGCTACTTATGAAAAACCCATAGCTAATATCATATTGAATGGGTAAAACCTGGAAGCATTCTCTTTAAAAACTGATACAAACAAGGACACCCTCTCTCACCACTCCTATTCAACATAGTATTGAAAGTTCTGGCCAGGGCAATCAGGCAAGAGAAAGAAATAAAGAGTATTCGCATAGGAAGAGAGGAAGTTAAATTGTCTCTGTTTAGAGATTACATGATTTTATTTTTAGAAAACCCCATCATCTCAGCCCCCAAACTCCTTAAACTGATAAGCAATTTCAGTAAAGTCTCAGGATACAAAATCAATGTGCAAAAATCACAAGCATTCCTTTACACCAACAATAGACAAGCAGAGAGCCAAATCATGAATGAACTCCCATTCACAATTGCTACAAAGAGAATAAATACCTAGGAAAACAGCTAACAGGGGATGTGAAGGACCTCTTCAAGGAGAACTACAAACCACTGCTCAAGGAAATAAGAGAAAACAAATTGGACAACCTTCCATCCTCATGGATAGAAGGAATCAGTATCATGAAAATGGCCATACTGCCCAAAGTAATTTACAGATTCAATGTTATTCTCAAACTACTATTGACATCCCTCACAAAATTAGAAAACACTACTTTAAATTTCATATGGAATCTATGAAGACCTCTGTATAGCCAAGACAATCCTAAGCAAAAAGAATAAAGCTGGAGGTATCAGGCTACCTGGCTTCAAACTATACTACAAGGCTACAGTAACCAAAACAGCATGGTACTGGTATCAAAACAGAGATATAGACCAATGGAACAGAACAGAGGCCTCAGAAATAAAACCACTCATCTATAACCATCTGATCTTCAACAAACCTGACAAAAACAAGCAATGGGGAAAGGATTTCTTATTCAATAAATGGTTCTGGGAAAACTGGCTAGCCATATGCAGAAAACTGAAACTGGACCCCTTCCTTACACCTTATACAAAAATTAACTCAAGATGGATTAAAGACTTAAATGTAAAACCCAAAACTATAAAAACCGTAGAACAAAACCTAGGCAATACCATTGGGCAAAGACTTCATGACGAAAATGCCAAAAGCAATTGCAACAAAGGTCAAAATTGACAAATGGGATCTAACTAAACTAAAGAGCTTCTGTACAGCTAAAGAAACTATCATCAGAGTGAACAGGCAATCTACAGAATGGGAGAAAATTTTTGCAATCTACGCATCTGACAAATGTCTAATATCCAGAACTTACAAGGAACTTAAACAAATTTACAAGAAAAAAACAACCCCATCAAAAAGTGGGCAAAGGATATGAACAGACATTTCTTAAAAGGAGACATTTACATAACCAACAAACATATGAAAAAAAGCTCAACATCACTGATCATCAGAGAAATGCAAATCAAAACCATAATGAGATACCATCTGAAGTCAGTCAGAATGGTGAGTACTGAAAAACCAAGAAACAACAGATGCTGGTGAGGCTGTGGAGAAATTAGAATGCTTTTACACTGTTGGTGGGAATGTAAATTAATTCAACCTCTGTGGGAAGACAGTATAGTGATTCCTCAAGGATCTAGAACAGAAATACCACTTGACCCAGCAATCCCATTACCAGGTATATGCCCAAAAGAATATAAATCATTCTACTATAAAGACACATGCACACTTATGTTTAGTGCAGCGTCATTTACAATAGCAAAGACTCAGAACCAACTCAAATGCCCATCAATGATAGACTGGATAAAGAAAACGTGGTGCATATACACCATGGAATACTATGCAGACATATAAAGGAATGAGATCATGTCCTTTGCAGGGACATGGAAGAAGCTGGAAGCCATCATCCTCAGCAAACTAACAAAGAACAGAAAACCAAACACCACATGTTCTCACTCATAAGTGGGAGCTGAACAATGAGAATACATGGACACAGGGAGGGGAACAACACACACCAAGGCCTGTTGGGGGTGGGGGGCAAGGGGAGGGAACTTAGACAACAGGTCAATAGGTGCAGCAAACCACCATGGCACACGTATACCTATGTAACAAACCTGCATGTTCTGCACGTGTATCCTGGAATCTAAAGTAAAATTTTTTTTAAATAAAGAAATGGACAACTCTCTAGAATCAAACACCTTGAAATTCCTTGAATAATTAAGGACCCACGGATTGTTCATCTTTTCATATACAGACCCCAACCTATAATTACTAATTACTAATTGCAGTGAGATCAGAGAAAAAATAAATGAAAAGTCTACTTTGGAGTCAAAGATATGGTTATTTCAAAGAACAGTTTCCCTATCAATAGTCATTTGTCTAAGACTATATTGATCAGCATGAAGTGGCACATTATAGAAGACACTTCTGCACACCTGTTACAGAAAAGCCTCCTCACAATGCCTATTTCTACTAACTAATCTATGCTGTCCACTCTAATAGGAACTGAAAAAGACACCATTTCCTCAATTTGATAGAGGATACAGTAAATATTTACACAACACTTAAAATGAGAGAGTATATAAACAATAATAGAAAACAGGTAATTCAGGGCTAGAATTTCCAATAAAAAATTTTATTTTGTTTTTGTTTTTTAATTAGAGGAAGAGAAAGATCAAGCCATATGTCAGATGTACTTCATTCTTTTTTCACAAAAGCATTATCTAGTCATAAAATAGAGGATCACAAAAAGAGCTGAACTGATCATAAAAAGTCTGTATTTCCTGTGCACTACAAACAACCATAATCCCTTGAACAATTCCCCAAAGCTCCTAACATCAAACATTAATCAGTCAGTTTAGGATCCATCAGCAAATTTAGGATACCTCCAAAGGGGCCTGACAGGTTAGGCAAAGAAAGCATTGCATACCATCAGTTCTTTCACTGATAGCTAAAGATCTATAGGTCAGAGAAGGGCAGGCTCTGATGTCTCCTCCATTAATTATTGAAGGTAATATTCCAGATGCTAGTAAATCTTAATAACTTCAAATATCAGCTTCAAAGATGTACTTTTGATGAACAAAGCCAAAACACTTCTCCTTATCAAAAAGACATGTTATAATGCATATTTTATCTTTCAACGGATATCCTCTCACCAATAAACGTGATCTTTGATCCAAAAATTCTTAGTAATGCCACTAAAATTTCTCAAAACAAAGTCAGTTTAAACGTGCTTCAGTTAAAACCACTGCCCTATTGCTCTAAAAGAAACATTACAAAATGCAACTACAGACTGTCAATTTTTCAACAACTTTGGGAGTGACTGTTTAGACACTGTCAAATGATTTCTAAGCAACCCTGCCACAAGCAGACTGGCTTGCTATAAACACAAGGTGTAGGATACATAAGAACTAATATTTGTTAAGGAATTTCTGTGTGCCAGACTCTTGGCTGATCTCTTTGGGTTTGATTGAATCGAATAGTCATCACAATCTGCAGAAAGGTTTGGTGACTTGATCGCAAGAACCTGGCTAGTAAGGGACTGAGTAAGAGACTTCACTAGGCAAGTTAAAGTGCTGCTCTACACTCCCATTGCTGTCTCTGTACCCAGCACGTGGGCACAAATGTAAGAGCCTCGTGAAGGAAAGCATAAGCAAGAACACACTGAGCAGCTCTAGGAAGCTCCTTAAGGTAGAATGAGAAACTTACTCAGGCAGGCTCCTGCAGTTGCACAATTATCATTCTTCTTAAGTGTGATTACTGCTCAAAGTCAGAAACATCAAATGTGGAAATATTATCCAAGTAGGGGATCCATCCATGAAAGCAACAATTGAGAGACTTCTACATTCTGCTCTACGACACCTGGAAGGCTCATCTCCGAAGTCACATTCTTTCAAGATGGTTTGAACAAAATGCAGATCTTTGGTGCAGCAATTAATAGGTACAGTTATGTATACTTCAACAGGCTGAATGTAATCTATCTTGAACTTGCCTTTCAATTACTCCGTGCTTGGAGCTTCCTGCAGTGCCTGACTATCTCAAAGTTGCTAACGCAGGGAAATAAGCCTATCAGAAATTCAAAACACTTCATCATCACATTTTAATCATACAAAATAGTAAGTCCTGAGTTTAGCTCATTCCTTGACAAGTCAGAGATGATGAAGTCTTTAATGCTCACCTATTTATACAGCAATCTTTCCTCCTAATTCCGTCTATCCTATTCTGTTATCTCAAAGATATAACCAGGTGACAGAGTTCAAGTTCATTACCAAGAGAATGTATTTCTCCAGCCAAAGCAAATAGAATTTCGATGAAACTTCTAAGTACCTGTTATAAATGCCAAGTATTAAAGGTTCTTTATTCAGCTATTTACAAGACCATCTGTGAAGCCAACATTCTGTGATCCAAATGCAGATGTTCTATGAAGGAAGGCAAGGCTAAAAAAGAAAATCCTGACAAGGCCCGTGCAGCTACTTAAAGCATAAAGGGAAGTGCAATGGTCTTACGATTTAAATATAAACCTTTGTTAAATGATGAGGAAACCACAGCAGCAGGGACCTGCTAAACAATCACTCGACTCCTGTGATTGAGCTAAAAGATTATATTTGAGATGCTCGGTCCATCGACATATTTACTGAGCCCCTGTTATGTTCCTAGTGTGTTCCAGGCACCATAGCATTATTGTAGGCCTGGCTCATGTATGCTGTGATTTGGTGTTTACCTTCGATTCTGAAGTTTAGAAAACCTCTTAACAGGGCTTCAAGATACTTTTCTCTTGTATCTGATTCCAAGTAACCCTGTATTTACTCAACCAACAGTCACTGTAGGACTATTCAGAAGTCATGTTAAGTAAAAGGTGGGTTACCTAGAAGCTGACAGTGTCACTGGAGCGGGGTCTTGAGGATCTAGACATTGGTTCTGTGGTTGCTTAGAAAGGTCTGGGGGCCATGAGGGAGGGCCTATGACAGCAGGGTAGGGGATATTCTCAGAGCAATAGCTATGTACAATAGAAATATTTCAATCTTTTAATTACCAGTGTGACTAAACAGAACCTCAGCAGTCCTATGTTGCCTAGTATACATAAATATTTAAGTCCAAGCCCTATATTCAGGCAGCTCTCCAGCTAAATAATATGCTATAGAATTATCTAACTTTCTCTATCAAGTTCAATAGATTGAGAGAAAGACCAGTTATCTAACAGCCAGAAGGAAAATCAAGATAAAAACTTGGTGTTAAGTTTTTATGTAAAACATGAAACTATAATATTTTGCTGAATAATTTCAATGACTGCAAATGAACAAAATCTATTCCACCTTTTGGAATCCCTTTTCAGTTTTAATTCATATATTCCACACTTTCTGCTACAGAGATTTCCATCATGGGTCAAGGATTGAACCAGATGATGTCCAATGAGTTGGGATTTCCAAGAGAGACCATGAGCAGTGCTAAAAAGTAGACATTTTGTCACAATATTTAATAAATAGCATTCATTAGAAAAATATTATCCCCCTTTAAGCAAATACTATTATTATTTCTCTCTATAATAGAAACAGAGTTCTAACATAATAGTACCTATTCGTTTTACTCAGAGGCATCAATCCTAATTGGAAATTTTTAAAAATCCAGCTCAAGTTGCAATTCACAGAGGTGGCAAATCTCCTTTAGAGGGCACAGAAATGTACATATGATCTCATTTTAAAATGTGTGTGTATACTTTTTATTTCTGAGAAAGCAACAAAATCCTGGCTTCCAATAATGTCCAACTTAATGGAGCATAACTTAAACTCCTTTTAACAAAGTTTAAATTTTTAAAAGCCCACTGAATTAAAGACATCATGACTAAGACCAAGCTGGAGTGCTCTAGAATCTAGCTTACAACTGTTTGGCCTAAGGAGCCTATAGCATTGACCCTGCATACATTAAAGCCACCTGTGCTCAAGTCCACTTATCACTCACACCTGCTTACACCATGCTACTGCTCACTACAATACCAATAAGAACATCTGCCTGCTTTAGATAAAGATTCTCTGCACATCTAAATTAGAATAACAAGTTTTTGAACTATTATTGCAAAAGAAACAGCAGTCAATGTGGTAATTTTTGGGGATCTCTGCCTAGGTTTCATTAGGCTCACCCTAATGTCTTTTTCAGTTTTGGCAGGAGGGCCTGTGCCTGTTTTCATAGCCAAAAGACTGCCATACTCACAAATGGCCAAAAAGTATGAAGAAATCCTTCAAGTTTCCCAGGCACTGAACAGGAGGCTCCAAACCAAGTCATCTGCTTGGAGTTTTTATTACTCCAAGTTCTGTTATAAACTGTACCTCAGTGCTCTTCATGTACGACATGACAGGCAGGAAATCATCCTTACAGCTTTCACATTTAACAAGGCTACTTTTGACCAAAATGAGCAATGAATTTCAAAATACAGGGACATGGCAAAGTGCTGTAACTCGGAATTAAACAAATCAACACCAAGAAACAATATTCTACTAGCAATTCGGTAATCACAGGCAAAGATGATAAATATCCATAATGTTTTTATAAGCCACAAACATGGTTTAATCTAATCTTACACTGTTTGTGTTTATAAAGCCAAGACAAGGGTGATCATCTAATATTTTCATAACATCTAGTAGAAGGTAGTTAAAAAGATGTTACATTAGACATCGTTACTGCTTCAAAATAAACTCTCACCTTAGTTAACAAAATGTGTTATGGGTTCTGTGCACATCTGTTATAGGTACCACAGAGACACTATAGCTACTGAACTCGTATGTGTGCTAGACATTCCATTTTGCTTTTTAAAAAATATATAACAACCTATTATTTATTTACCATAATTATCTCCATTTTACAAAAGTGAGAAGGCTTAAATTTATTTTCCCCAATCCAAAACTGTAACTACTCCAGCCCAGGTGTCTCTTTTAAACCTCTTGCTCCGTCTCCACAGACTTCAACATGGAGGAAATTCAGGGGATAAACTATATCCAAAGCAGCCTCAAAGATTCAGGCAGTAATTTCATTATCATGTCTTACTTGATTTGTACCAAAAAAAAAAAAAAAAGATTAGATTTCAGTTTCACGTCTTCTGTCTCTTACTAATTCAGGTACTAAAAACAGTTGGTATTTACTGAGTGCTTATTTTGCTCTAAGCCCTTCACATGATTTAACAAATTCCCAAAACAACCCTACAGGGTAGATAGTAGCATCATGCTACTTTGCAGGTGAGGATACAGGTATAAAGATGTTAAGTAACTTGCACAGGTAGCCAATTTGGGCCCCTAACTAAGGCAGTCTGGTCGATGCTTTGACCTTTGTGCTACCTTTCCTCTACCTCTGAAGACAAAAGGTAATTGCAAAATAAAAGTATGATATGCTGAGAAGCAAATAAACTAGATCTGGTAACCCAAAAAGTATATGTTGCACTCAAGCCCTCCTTGCAGTACCAAACCCACAAAACCAAATGGTGCTGAGTTGTGCATTAGAAACAGGTTAAAAGACCTATTAAATAAGCTCAGATCTGAAAGGTAAACAATAAGCTACTGAAATATGATTTTTATTAAGCAATAGCAAACAAGTCTATTTACATTTCAAGAAAGAAATGGCAATAATTCATTAGCAAGACAAAATAGAGTCAACCAAACCGATGTAGTTTCTCTCTCCACACACCCACTCCCTTACACACATACTAGCAGCCCTATGAAAAACAGGGTTATAATAGAAATGCTGACACAACCAACCTTATAATGTTTCATACGAAAAGCTACAATTATATTTTCTAATTGTAAACTGGGTGAAAAAAAAAAGGCCAACCAGAACAAAAACATAATAACTACCTAGAAACAGTCCATCAGAATTCTTGGATTATGAAAAATGCATATAAAACACTATTATCTTCAGCCACAGCCAGAAGATGTCAGACAATCAATTCATATAACATGCCAGCTTAATAAAATCTGCATACAAAATTTATGAATGCAGTAATATTCCTTTATATCACAAGTTATTAATGGTCAATTTAATGAACATCTACAGCTGGAGTGCTTTCGTTCTGTATGATATTTTAATCATTTTTAGCCATGGATTTAAACGCATTTCATTTTATAACCATCAGCTAGTGAAGATAAGAAAACCTTTACACAAATAACTGAAATATTTGGGGTAGGCCACCAATTTTGTCTTTATGTTGTTATTTATTTCCTTAAATTTTTTTTTACAACAGAAACACAATGAAATGTTCCATTATAACAATATTTGATTTAATATTTGTATTTAGAATATGAAAAGTTTGCTTAAAGTAGCATTACATGTTTGGCTAGCATAAAATCTTCCATTTCATTTCAAATAAAGAACTTTCTAACCTCGTTTATGTGAAACAATCTCGCTCAGAGCTATTATCCTCCAAAAACTATCCTGGTGGAATGTTGACATCTCGGACATAAATATTCTTGAAAATTAATGTGTTGTATTTCTTAAGTATCCTATTTCCACTCACTTGTTCACATAATCTTTAAAAATCCTATTGTGTTCAAGTCTACTTTTCCCACAGATTCTTTACTAAAACTAAATTTTACTATATGATGCTTATGTGGAAGGAACAGGCAACATAACTGCAAGACAACAGTAGCTATCTGAAAATACAAACATTCAGCATTTAAAATATTGATGTCTTTCTGTGGTCACAAAGTCAAATAATTGTTTCTCACATTTGAGCATTAGAATTTGGTATTTAAAATTACACTCATCCTTCAGAGTTAATTGAAAGATTTGGATATATAGGAAAAAGGTTAAGAAATCTAGGTCATAAATACTTCTTAAGGTGCAAGAATTGGCTTCATAAACTAGTAAATGTGCAATAATCACTATTAAAGAATGAAAGATGGCATTTTTTTTTTTTTTTTGAGATGGAGTCTCACTCTGTTGCCCAGGCTGGAGTGCAATGGTGTGATCTCGGCTCACTGCAACCGCCACCTCCCAGGTTCAAGCGATTCGCCTGCCTCAGTCTCCCAAGTAATTGAGATTACAGGCGCCCACCATCATGCCTGGCTAATTTTTGTATTTTTAGTAGAGACGGGGTTTCTCCATGTTGGTCAGGCTGGTCTTGAACTCCTGACCTCAGGTGATCCACCCGCCTCTCTCCCAATGACAGCAATTTTTTAGTTTGACTGTCTATAGCCTTATAGGACATTACAGGTGAAAATCAGTAAAAGCCATGTGCACAAAAGATTTAGTGCATTCATGTGTCTTTATTCATTCACTCTATCTTCTGTTGCTTCACTGGTTCCTTTTGGGCTTCCTACTATGTGCCAGTTAATCTTTATTTGCTCTGGGCGAGTAACTCCCATTCTTAAAGACCTAATAAAACAGGACACAGTACATGTATACCCACTAATTATAAAACAGCGTAGAATTGATGGATAAGTGCCAAGGAGAAATACAAATCAAGAATTCAGAGAAAATGGTTCTTACTTGTCGAGAAAAGGGCAAGGGAAGACTTTATAAAGGTCAACTGGAATTTAGAGGAGTAAAAGAAATAAGGGTATTTTTGGGTAAAGGGCACAACATGAAATTGACTTAAGGACAATACACACAAGGACAAAAAGTGCCTATGACGTGAGTTTTAAGTTTAAAATACAGACTTTCAACAATGCTTAAATCTGTAGATGGTAGGCATTTTCCAAATTCCTCTAATAAGTAGAATCAGCCTATATCCAAGGAAGATCATAACTCATTAAATTTCATTTTAACCTTCCTGAATCTGCCTAAATTTTCTCATCTTATCAGGCAAGCCAATATATGCTTACACTGTGAGGTTAAAGAAATGAACCTGTGAAGAGAACCTGTCAAATCAAATTATCAACAAGCAATAGTCCCACTATTGGGGAATATATAAGCTGCAATGTCAATTTTAAAGAAGTGTGCTTACATTTGCATTTTAATTAGGTCACACCTTCAACATCATGATATTAATTTCAGTTTAATGCTCTATTTTATTGCCATTTCCAAAATGACATTTTTAGACATGGACATAAAGAAAAAAATCTCTACTTTTGTTTTGACAACCCATAAATATTGCAAATTGAAACAATGTTGAACAAAGTTCAATATTTGGAATATTCAAACGAGAGATACGACTGTGTCTAAAATTCTAAATACTTAGAATTGGATTTCAAAAATATTCCAAGGGAAAATTATTAGATTCTCATTTAAGAGCATAATGGAGTGTTGAATGGAACATAAAATTCAGGTTCCTGTGAGTCACCAGAAGCTAAATATGAATAGCTCAGAAAAAATCATTTTGGTTAAGACTTTGCATTAGAATTGAGACATGCTTTGTAGTTTTTTCAGATCAAGAGGGAGGTAGACAAATTACAGAATGTATCTTTGTCCATTAATAAATGACATATACTCAAATACATAAAGTTGTAATAACATTCACATAACAAAATTCATCAATCATTTTAAAGTGTAAAATTCAGTGGCATTTTGTACATTCACAATGTCATGCAACTTTCACCATATCTGTTTCCAGAATGTTTTCATCATCCCAAAAGAAAACTCTGTGGCCATTACAGCCATTCTACATTCCCCACTACCCACTCCTAACCCCTGGTACCACTAATCTGCTACCTCTATGACTTTGCCAATTCTGGATATTTCACATAAATTGTATCACATAATATGCGACTTTTAGTGTATAGTTTTAATTTTTATTTTTGTAGGTACATAGTTGTATATATTTATGGGGTACATGACATGTTTTGATACAGACATGCAATGTGTAATAATCACATCATGTAAAATGGGGTATCCATCCCCTCAAGCATTTATCCTTTGTGTTACAAACAATCAAATTATACTCTTAGTTATTTCAAAATGTACAATTAAATCATTATTGACTACAGTCACTCCGTTGCGCTATCAAATACTAGGTCTTATTCATGTTTTCTATTTTTTTGTACTCATTAACCATACCCACACCTCCCTGCCCACCACCTGTCAACTATCCTTCCCAGCTTCTGGTAATACTCCTTCTACTTACTACCTCTATTAGTTGAATTGTTTCGATTTTTAGATCCTACAAATAAGTGAGAACATACAGTATTTGTCTTTCTAGGCCTGACTTATTTCACTTCGCAGAATGACCTCCAGTTCCATTCATGTTGTTGCAAATGACATGATCTCATTCTTTTTTGTGGATAAATAGTACTCCATTGTGATTAAGTACCACATTTTTTAAATCCATTCCTCTGCCGATGGACACTTAGGTTGCTTCCAAATCTTGACTATTGTGAACAGTGCTGCAACAAACACGGGAGCGCAGATCGCTCTGTGATATACTGACTTCCTTTGGGTATATATCCAACAGTGGGATGTCTGGACTGTGTGTTAGCTCTACTTTTAGTTTTCTGAGTAACCTCCAAACTGTTCTCCTTAGTGGCTGTACTAATTTACATTCCCACCAACAGGGTACAAGGGTTCCCTTTTCTCTACATCCCCGCCAGCATTTGTTACTGTCTGTCTTTTGGATATAAGCCATTTTAACTGGAGTGAGATGATATCTCGTTGTAGTTCTGATTTGCATTTCTTTGATGATGAAGGATGTTGAGCACCTTTTCATATGCCTGTTAGCTATTTTTAGTGTATGGTTTCTTTCATAAGCAAATGCTTCAAGTACATTCTAACAAATACATTCTCTAATTCTTCTTTAAGGGAATACTCTTAAAGAAGAAATGGTCAAGTACTTCATTTCCCAACTGTTTTCTATTTTTCTTTTCCCAAAACTATTCCAAAAAGTTTATGGGGCTTTGTGTTTATTGTTTATGAGGTAAACAAATATGAGTTTTTACTCCCAGATTTTTCCAAATTAAAAAGGCAGTGACAAATATCCATTTAAATTAAAAATCCAAGCCATTATTGACATTGGAACTTGATTCTACATATGCATTAAAAAAAAGACCTAACAGGGGGAAACCTACATTGTGTTCATAACTGGGGATATCCAACAGCATCAGTATGTCAAATTTCCATAAATGAATCCATGTATTCAATGCCATTCCTTTAAAAAATTTCACGGCCTTTTCCCACAGAATTTGACAAGACGGAAAAAAATCATTTGAAAGAGTCAAGGTAAAGAACAGCCAAAATGTGATTAAAAGAAAGGAATGCTTGTCTTTCTAGACATAAAGATACTCTTTAATCATAGTAATCAAAGGACTGTATCATTAAAGCTCAAAGAGACCAACTGAACTCAGTGGACAGGCAAGAAACAGATTCACACATTTATGTCAAGACCATGGGGAAAGAATAGAATGGAACACTGTTTTTCCATAGGAAGAAAAGTAGATTCATAATTTATATCACATATAAAAGATATCCAGATGATATCAAGGCACATATGGAAAAGAAAACATTAATACATTAGAAAAATATGAAAGTACTGTTATGATATTAACACTGGGAATATATTCTTAAGGTACAGCCAAAATGCATAGACCAAAAGGAAATTATTAAATTTCATTATACTAAACATTTTAGTATCAAAGGCACTATCCCCTGTCCCGACCCCATCACACATATGGAAACCCACTAAGATTCCAAGCGAGAAATAAAAAAAAGTCCTGTGATGGATATGATCACAAAGGATTTAAATCTAGAATATATAAAAATACTAATTATTGCAAAAGAAAACAATGACCCAATGGAAAAAATTGGCAAAGAATACACACAAGCAATTGACAAAAAGGGACACCTGTTTGCATCCAGGAGCAAACGTTTTACTCCACTGGATAATTGGAGAAATGAGAATTAATCCAATAATGTGGTACCATCTTTTACCCACCAGAGTGGCAAACACTTAAAAAGTGTGCCAATGCAAACATCATGGGAAACAGATGTTTTCACCCAATGCTATGGAGTATCAACTGACACAAGCACTTAATTAGGACTATAGAACTGCTCTCCAATGTTGGAGAAATGTGTACCTTACAACATGGTGATTCCACTGCTAGGTAAATATTCTACAGAGAGACTCACCAGTACACTAGGAAACACATACAAAGATATTGGTTTTACATCGTCTTAACTGAGAAAAATTAGAAACAACCTTTAAAAAGGAATAGGAAATTAATTTGTCTTCCACTCAGGGACTAGAATACAATACAGGAGGTAAAAATGAAAGAATGAGGGCTTCATTTATTCATGTAGCTGTATCTCAAAAACAATGCCGAGTAAAAGAAACTGATTATGTACAGCAGGACACAGTCAAGAAAATATTAAATACATCAAACAACATGATTTCCTTTTTAGGGATACAGATGCACATTAAAAACAAATAAAAACAAAAAACAAAAAAAAACATGCAAACCTAAGCAGGTAGAAAACCTACCAACTTCAGGTCAGTAAACGCCTCTAAAGCAGTTCTCAAAAGGGGGTAACTTTGCCTCCCACATGTGGCAATATGTGGAGATATTCTTTGTTATTCACAACTAGGAGGGGGCATGGTATTGTATCTGGTCGGTACAGGTAGAGTTGCTGCTAAACACTTACAGTGCACAGGACAGCCCCCACAAGAAAGTAGTTATCTGGTCCAAAATGGCAATGGTTACAAGGTTGAGAAAGGCAGCCCTAAAAACAGAGGAAGGAGAATAAGATGACAGGTGGGGAAGATGAAGTGTATCTATAACTTTTCATTCTAAGAAAAGATCTGAAGCATGTATGAAAATATGTTAAATTTTTTAAGAAGGACTGCCACATTATTCTTTGTACATTCTTATATTTGAAATATCTCTTTAATCAGTTCAAAAATATAAAAATCATTCTGCAAACAAACACAGTTAATTTCTAAATTTGATGAAAATTACATAATTCTTTTATTAGCCTATTTCTATAAATATATCTTTGGAAAAACAATATTCTCACACTCACGATCAAACGTATTTGCACTTTTTTTCAGTGTTTGTTCTACACAGAGCTATAAAAGGAAGACTGTGGAAGAACCCAGGATTCATCCAGGATCACAGGATCATTTCATTATTACAGTTTCAGGCAAGAACATTCTAAAACCAGCTCAGAGAAAGCTAATTCCGTCCTTTCCTGGTTATATAGCAGATCATAATAATTCCAGGCAATTCTCTGAAGAAGCTGATGATCTAGAACAGTGGGCTTGCATCACACACCCCATCATGCTTCCTTAAGTACATGGCTTAGGATGCTGATTTCTCCCAACCTCATGGGTTTCAGTAGTTCCTACAAACAACTTTGAGATCAACCAGTGCATAATTTTATTTTTTCCTTTAGTTCCTTAGTGCAGAGGATGGCAAACTTTTTCTGTAAAGGGCAAGATAGTAAATATTTTGGGCTTTGCAGGCCATATGGTCTCTGTCACAGCTACTCATCTGTGTCACTGTAACACAAAAACAGCCATAGAGGATACATAAAGGAACAAATGTGGCTGTGTTCCAATAAACCTTTAGTTACAGAAACAGGCAGGGAGCTAGACTTGGCTCCAAGCCATAGTTTCGCCAACACCAAGATGGACAGCAAAAATGCAACCAGTTTAAATACTATTTTAAATTTAAGGCATTTCCTCCAATCTTTGAAAGTAAAGTTTTATGTATGTTTTAATCAGTGTAAAAATTTTGTACTACCAAAAATGAATTTATATAAATGAAACAATTCAATAAATGATGAAAATGTTCATTTGTTACATTTATAGCATACTAACTTCTTTCTGGAAGTATGTTATACCCCCTGATTTACTAAATTATTAATTATAATTTTACTAGTTTAAATTATGCTATTAATGATTCCTTATAAGAAAATAAACACACATATTGTATCTTCAACTAAGGGTTGGGAACGACAAGGACAGTGAAATTATACTCCCAACACAAATAATAGCTTTCTATTAGGTTTGCTATTTCACCTGAATAATTCCTTATAATCATGAATAATGATGTTATTCGACAACCTAATGATATCATGGTGTGTAGCTTCAATCCATCTGTCTTTGTCAAGAAGGTCAAATATTTGTACTCCACTGCACTAGGCAAAGTTGAACAAACAGTTAAACAACATCACACACCTTAATTACTCCTTCAAATGAAACCAGCAACTACCATTTTACCTGATTCTAGGACCTGTGAAATAAAAACCTACTTCAAAGATATTTAATCTGTATACACTTTTACACCAAATTTAAGCTCAACTTAAAAAAAAAATAAAAGTGGTTAAACTCAAGAAAAAGCCCCAAGATTTTCTAAGGGTATTGTTAATTGGTTGTTGCTGTAAAATGTTTTGTGAATAACAAAATATTCCAGGAACTTTTAACAAAGATCTGGAATACTTCATGTGTTATCTTGACATTGGCTTAAAGGTAAGAATAAAGCAATAGCGTGATAGATGTGAACTATAGTTCCTATAAATGCTTCATAGTGTTTGCTTTGCTTCGAGATTCCATGAGTGACCAAGGAGTTGAAGGGGATAAAAACTCCCCATTCACTGTTTCTACAGAGCCTCTACAAGACCTGGACCCTTGGGGCTGGGGGATGGTGAATATAGCAAGGTATGATGTGGGCATACTTAAATGATTTGCAGCAAAATAATGTTTATATTAAAAATCCTGTTTTCCTTCCTTCCACCCTTCTGCTTTTTCTTAAATCTCACCAAAGCTTTATTGCTGCACAAAAATGAAGTCCTTAGAAGGCCTTATTAATCTGGTTCCAGACTCCTAGCATCTTCCCACTTCCTCACCATGCTTCACCCCCACAGGTCTTCGTGTTTTTGAAACGGAGTCTCGCTCTGTCGCCCAGGCTGGAGGGCAGTGGCGAGATCTCGGCTCACTTTAAGCTCCTCCTCCCGGGTTCACGCGACTCTCCTGCCTCAGCCTCCCGAGTAGCTGGGACTATAAGTGCCCGCCACCGCACCCGGCTAATATTTTGTATCTTTAGTAGAGACGGGGTTTCACCGTGGCCTTGATCTCCTGACCTCGTGATCCGCCCGCCTCGGCCTCCCAAAGTCCTGGGATTACAGGCATGAGCCACCGCGCCCGGCCTCTCTGTGTTTTTTTAAACATTATTGAGCATGCAAACTTGTTTCTGCCCCTGAGCCTTTGTTCTTGTTTCCTTCTACCTGGACTTGGCTGCCCATTGTCCCACAATGGGCTGGTCCCTCCTCGTTAGTTCTTACAGCACGTGTCACCGGCAAAGAGAAGACTTCCCTACCACTCTGTCTCAAGCAGTCCCTCACTCTCAATCATACTCTTCTTTTTATTTTATTCAGAATAGAAAATCATGTTGTTTGTGATTTATGGGTTTACATTTATGGGTTTCATCTTTTATGGTAAACCTCTGCACACAAGAATAAAAGTAGGATCGTTATCTGACTATTCATTATTGTATACCTGGGGTCTGGCACATAGCAGAAACTAATTAAATGATAAATTTACATATTCATTCATTTACAATAGACAACTCTGTGTCTAATTTGAGGTCAGCAAATGACGGCCCTAGAGCCAAACCTGCCTGATACCTATTTTTGTAAATAAAGTTTTATTGGAACACAGCCCTGTTTGCCCGTTTACCAATTGATGATGTTGCTTTCACACTAGAATGGCCTAGTGGTGTAGTTACAACAGAGACCACATGGCCCAGAAAAGATTTACAGAAAAAGTTTGCTAGCTCCTGGTCTACTACACAGTATATGTTCTCAAATAAATAAAATAAAGTACAGTCATTGCTTTTAAAGGAGTTCTGGTCCATTGTGTGTTTTTATTCAAACACTTTTAGATTAAAATTCTATGGCCCAAAAGAAAGCTCCTTTAAAACTGTAAGCATCACCTAGCAAGAGTTGTATTGGTGCTGTGGCTGGGCACGGTGGCTCACGCCTGTAATCCCAGCACTTTAGGAGGCCAAGGTGGGTGGATCATTTGAGGTCAGGAGTTTGAGACCAGCCTGGTCAACATGGTAAAACCCCATCTCTACTAAAAATACAAAAAAAATTAGTAGGGTGTGGTGGTGCACCCCTGTAATCCTAGCTACTAGGGAGGCTGAGGCAGGAGAATTGCTTGAACCCGGGAGGCAGAGGTTGCAGTGAGCCAAGATCACCCCACTGCACTCCAGCCTGGGTGACAGAGTGAGCATCCATCTAAAAAAAAAAAAAAAAAAAAAAAAAATTGTATTGGTGCTCTATTCATTAGGTCAGCTGGCTGAAATCATAAAGAACTAACACAGTGCCTGGCCCCTGGTAAGTACTATACAAGCCTTGATTGGCTTCTTTTTGGAAGAAAACATTATATCCGGTGGCTAACACAGGGCTTGGCACATATTCGGTTGGTGCAAAAGTAACTGCAGTTTTCACAATAAAAGTAATGGCAAAAACCTCAATTGCTTTTCCATCCCAACCTAATAGCAAGTAACAGTCAAGATCTGTTGAACTGAATTGAAGTGAACTTGACTCTTTCAGCCAGAGGGACTAACAGGCTAATCTGTGAAATTAGTGGGCAAAAAACTGATTCACTCACCTGAGAACAAGCCATTCTGTAAAATAGGCTGAGAAACCATTTCTCACCAACATTTTTCAGGGATGACTTGAAGTAATATGATCCAAGGAGCCAGATTTCAATATACGTTTAATGTTTTTTGATAACTCGTTGTAGGTAGCCACTATTTATCTTATTTGAGTTACAAAGATACATAAACACAAAATTTAAACAGTAATTTGAGTCACAGACTCCCAGAGTTGCAATACTATCCCCTGTAATACTCAGTTCTATAGATATTTTTTCTTTTAAAAGATCCAAACTAACCCACATTTACGCCAGCTCTTCCAATTATGACTAACCGATGCATATTATTTCTCCAAATCTTGACGGTCTAAGCTAATGCCTCTCACAGTTGACTCACAGATGGAAGTCACAATTATTTGGGAGTGGCTGGCTTTTTGTTTTGAGTTCCACTTCCTGGCTCCTACGCTCAACTTTTGAATTCAGAATCCTTAGAGTGAGAAATCATGGCAGAGTCCGGAATCTCCATTTTAACAAACACCCTAGGTGATGCTCGGTCCTTTAGAAATCTGTTATTTTAGATCAAGAGATCATATATCCACATTAAGAAATACCAAGTAGCTATCAACTTTTGGAACCACTACTTTCCTCTATTGGAAATGTAACGAAGTGATACTGTGTGTTTTACTTGGAGTTATTCATATTACTGTATATTACGTGCATACACATGCATATTACGCACTCAGTACTTGTAGGAGTGAAGTACTCAAAGAAAAGCTAAAATGTGGCATCTTTGCCATCCAGGCGGTTCTTTGATAAGCAGCATACGCATAAATGATGTAAACAAATGATACAATGACCCATGACTGAGAGACCGACGAGTAGACATGCAACAAGATTTCAGAGAAAGAAGCAATCAAGGGGGTCTAGGTTGTCAGTGATGTGAAAAATTGCCTTCTTTGGATCCAGTAGAGGAGGCAGGAAGTACAAAAAGTGATAGTAGTTATCACACTCTAGAGGTGTCCCAGGACCTTGTTCTTCTCTCAGTTAAGACCTAAGATCTTAGAACACAGGAAGAGTAAAGCAAGAACTATGGCCTTCTAAGTTATTAATCCCAGCAGCCTGGGAAAGATTACTAAGGCTTTGAAAGCTGGCCAAAAGTCATTGCATCTCAGTGGTCATAGAGGAAGACCTGGGCCACCATGAACTGAACCAGTAAGAAGCCCCTGTCTCCAAGGAGCTGTCCTGAATGACCTTGCACGGCACAGCATTCTCTTTATCTTCCTGTGGCATCAGTAATAAAAATCATTGGCTGGTCTCCTCATTTGACATCTAATCAAACACTTCACTCGGAAGTTACTTTTCTTGCGGGTTTAGGTCTTAACCCTCCAAGGATCCTGCAAAGTTCTAGAGGACAGAGTGTCAGCAACTCCCCCAGTGCTTAGCACAATAATGTCAGGCATCATAAAAAGATCTTGTTTAATCATTTGATAATTTTTTATTTATTGCCTACCATGTACCAGACATTGTGTTAAGCACTCAATAGAACAGACAGCTAGATCCTAAACCCAATGGCAGTGACAAAACCGTCTGTAGTCATGAGGGCTGACGACAACACTATGACTATAGTAAAAGCCATTAAAATCACTTTAAATTGGTGAATTGCACGGTGTGTGAAGTATATATCAAAAATGCTATTATAAAAAAATCAAAATGGCAGAAAGGAAGATGGTCAAGCCTTAGAAATTCACTTGGTGAAAGGTTAGAAAAAACACATCCAGAACTTAGTTACTCCTATTTAGATGGTGACTGTGACACATTAGTAATACTTGATGGTACTGTAGCTGAATACTGAATATTAAGAAAATTGGAATGCTTCTCAGAAGCAACAAAACAACGAAACTACATTTATGCTGTATTGGTTAAGAACATAGGTGTCAGAATCAGAAAAACATGTGATCAGTTCTAGGTTCTCTTCCTTAGTTGTGTGACTTTGGTCAAACTGCTTACCTATCTGAGCCTCAATTTCTTCATCAGTAAAATAACTTTAAAATATAGTAATGCTCAATAATTCTTAGCTAGTAATCAAATAATGCAAATTAGCATAATACATTCTCACTTATAAAATTAGCATATATTAGGAAAATTATTACTATTCAATGAGTAGTAGCAAAATGTTTTTCCACTTTGCTTTTGGGTACATGTGAAATTTTATTGTATGTCCACTCATTGAGATCTCAAACATTTATTATCATAACATTTACATAATTTATGTGTATGTACCTTATCCAAGAAGGCCTATGATAGCAAAGATGCTATGTCTCAGTTTTCTTTGAATACTTCACTCCTACAATTACTGAGTGTGTATGCATGTAATATACAGTAATATAAATAACTGATAAATGTATGGGCACATACATTTTATATTGGTTGTGGCATGACTTCTAATAGTGAAAGTTATGAAACAAACTAAATATTCAAAACCAGGTGAAATAATTATAGTTAATCATATTGATGAAATATTATGAAACCACTGAAAATGAAGTTAATGAATAAGAAACATTAACTTTAAACAATAAGAAAAAACTTACGGTATTAGGATCAAAAGAAAGGGATATCATACTATATGTAGAGTAGTGTTGTGTTCTAGTTTTATCTAAAACTGTTTTGGAGAAGATGGAAGAAAACAAAACATTTTAAAAGATTAACAGGGATTATCTCTGGGCAGTAGGATTATGAGTCTTTTTACTTCATACTTTTGTGCATGAAAAAAATTAACAGTATTAAATTCTTGCTCATTTTATTTATAATAAATACATGCAGTATTGATTTTAAGAAAGAGCAAATAAGCCTTATTTTACGTATCACCAGATTATATCACAAAGTGACGTTAATTTTACTACACAGATAAATGACCACATAGCTCAAATGACCAGAAAAAAAGAATTGTGAAGTATATTCTCTAAATATAAGCATCCAACCATATTGATAGCCACCAATGTCAGTCACACTTAAAAAGATTTTTTGGCCGGGCAGCGTGCCTCACGCCTGTAATCCCAGCACTTTGGGCGGCCGAGGCGGGCAGATCATGAGGTCAGGAGATCGAGACCATCCTGGCCAACATGGTGAAACCCCGTCTCTACTAAAAATACAAAAATTAGCTGGGCATGGTGGCACGCGCCTGTAATCCCAGCTACTCGGGAGGCTGAGGCAGGAGAATCACTTGAACCTGGGAGTTGGAGGTTGCAGTGAGCCAAGATCTCCACTGCACTCCAGCCTGGCGACAGAACGAGACCCCGTCTCAAAAAAAAAAAAATTTTTTTTTTGGTTCAACAAAGCTGCTTAGTAAGTAGTTTAAAGTTATTTATTATTCTAACCCAAATGTTTCACATCACAGTAATTTGTTAAATATAATTGTATAACATAGTAAAACGTGAACTGCCAAATACAATATATTGATTGAAGGAGTCTCATGAAGCTTTGAGAGCTTCAGCGATAGTGGACAGGCTGTATTCAACCGCAGCTCCAAAGGAGAAAGTGATTAACAAAATAAGAAAATAATTAATTCAAAAGAAAATATGCTTTAGAAATATGTGATTTTTTAATTGTGAGAAGGATAAAATGTTTCCTTAAGGTCATGTAACTGTTAGCTACACAGGTAGCCTTTCTGCCCGGTAGTAAGCCCAATGTGGAAATGAAATTTAGTAGTGATTTAATTTATAATTATTTTTCAAAGTTTGAGGAATAGGAACAACTACATTATGTTCAATAGTCTGAAAGCACAAATTCTGACCTTTAAGTTCAAAGTGGAAGTCAAACTGCTATACGTCAGCATGACAACATCAAGAAAAACCAACAGGTCCCAGGGGACAAGGGGAATACCTGCTTCCCTGCCCACTATCACCCCAAAAGTTTTGTCAGAACTATTTTGGACATTTGTCAAAGATGTATTTTTTTTCCTATTTAGATCATGAGCTGTAAAAACAGAAAAAAACAAAATAATGGGCAGAAATCTATCTGAAACCCACTACTTTTTTTCCTTCCTTTATTTTAATAGATAAAAGGCTAAACCAGGTCATCTACCTAAACAAGACTGGTTCCAGGCCTCTGCTATGGCTAAGTAGTTAAGGAAATGATTTTTGCAATTAGGATGGTCTCATTTATATTGGGACTTCACTACTTACTAGGTGGGTGAGTGTGGACAGCTTACTTCCATACCCCTAGGCTTCTTTCAGCATCTGTGTAAAGGGCCATTAAGTCAGAATTAAATAAGTGGTAGCTGTTATTACTAAATATAAAAGCCTCATAGAAAAGATATGTTAGTTATTAGAAAGAAAATTTTCCCTAAAACTTCTTTTAAAACATCTTATGACAAAGTTACAGAAATATTTTTAAGCCGTTTGTAACTAATACAGACGCACATTCTCTCTCATATTTACACTTTTCACCTTTGCTTCCCATCTGGAGGAGATCATCCTCCAAGGTTTCTTCCAGCATATTTTATGATAATCAGACTATGAATTGGGAATACATATTATTTGGGCTCTGTTTTTGATTGCTATTTTTCATGTGGTAAATCCCAGAAAGCTGCCCAAATCCCCTGCTGATTATCTTGGCCAAGATGTTGACAAACTCTTAGATTTCTGCTATCCCATTGGCATCCATTGGTATTGCAATGGCATTCTTTCATCCAACGGACAAAACCTCTTTCCAAATTCTGACAACTTCTATATTATCATCATTCTTCTAATGTTAATAAGCTTGAATTTGGTAACATTAACCCCACAGTTACCAAATATGGCCTCCTCATGCCAACCCACCTCTGCTTTTTGTAGAAGAAACTATTAGGCCATTTGTAAAAGTCTGGTTTGATGACTCCTCATTTTGTGGCAATTTCATAAATATGACCAACTTTATCATTAGTCTTATTTTCTTTCAATTAATCAACAAAGCCATGAGTAAAATGTGAAAATTTAATAGTCTTTTCCCATGATTTCTCACAGACAATATAATTGAGCTTTCCATGTTATTTTACAGTTCTTTTTATATGGTAGGCACTAATGAAGGAGTCCACAAACACTGGTTACATAGCACACATGGTTGATGTCTATTTTTCACATGGTACTTTGAGGGTGGAGGGTAGGTGGGAAGGGATGGATGTATTCCATAGGATCTGTAGCAACAAGTATAAAGCTAATTTTGTAAACTGCAACTCCTGAACACTGGTGCCTTTGGAGAAATTATTTATCATATATTATCTATATTACAGAGATTGTGTTTGGCAAATCCACGGTTTTAGAGTCAGTACACAAGGCAGATAATCATTTGTCTGAAAATCTCGGACAAGTGTGTTTACTATCTATAGTAGATGGCACCATTTTCTTCACAAATATTTATTCTCCTCTTCTCCTACATCGTGGGAGGAGTATACTACTTTGCTTTACTGATTTCAAGATGGTCATGTGATGTGCTTTGGCCAATGGATCACAAGTGGATATAACACACGGCCCTCCCAAAGGAAGCTTTAAACGTATGTGTGTGGTCTGGGTTGGCCTTCTAACCTCCTGCCCTCTACCATAGGAGCAAAATGTTCCAGATAGGGGCTGCTTCTTCAGCCTGCGTAAATGGAATGAGAAGACAATGGAGCAGACCCAAAGCCAGCTGAGCCCAGCCAAGACCAGCAGAGCCACAGCTGACCTGCAGATTTGTGAACAAGAATGAATGATGTTGTTGTAAACTACCAAGATTCCAGGTTGTTGCCCCATAAAAACTGACGGATATACTATCCCTAAGTCTTAATTACTTCATTTAATAAATTGTGATTTAGTGTGTGTAAAACATAGTGCTGAAGTTACTATAGTGAAAAAAAAGCATATACTGCCCCTGCTCTCATAGTCTAGAGGAAGAAAATGGAAATTGCACCATCATTCTAGCACATGTGAATTACAAACAAGTAAATGCTATCAAGGAAAGAAATGTGGTTCCATTAGAACATATAATAAAGGAAAGTGGCCAAGACTGAGGTTTCAAAAGAGCCCTTCTAGAAGAAGGGATACGTGAGTTGGCATTGGTAGAATGAACAGGAGTTAGCAAGGTAAAAAGACAATGCAAAAACATTCCAGTCAAGAGAGAAACAACATGCAAAGGCCTATGGCTAAAGGAAACACGATTTGGTGGAGGAATGAAAGAGGCTAGTATGGCTGGGCATGAAAGAAAGAGGGAGGCCTGGCATGTGGTGAGATTAGAGAGAAAGACTGAAGCAAGACCAGAGGCCTTTAAAGGCCATGTTTTAAAAGCTAGGGTCTTTATCCTATGTACGAAAGGAAGCTAGCAAAGGTTTTTTGTTTTGTTTTGTTTCATTTTGTTTTTTTACAACAACAACAGCAGCAACAACAAAACTTGTATTTTAAGCTCAGGGGTACGAGGGTAGGTTAGTTACATAGGTAAACTCGTGTCATGGCGGTTTGTTGTACAGATTATTTCATCACCCAGGTATTAAGTCTAGTACCCGTTAGTTATTTTTCCTGATCCTCTCCCTCCTTCCATCTTCCACCCTCTGATAAGCCCCAGTATACATTGTTTCCTCGGCCCATATGTCCTTGTGTTCTCATCATTTAACTCCCACTTATAAGTGAGAACATGTGGTATTTGCTTTCCTGTTCCTGCATTAGTTTGCTAAAGACAATGGCCTCCAGCTCCATCCATGTCCTTGTAAAGGACATGATTTCATTCTTTTTATGGCTGCATAGTATTCCATGGTGTATATGTACAACATTTTCTTTATCCAGTCTACCACTGATGAGCATTTAGGTTGATTCTATATCTTTGCTATTGTGAATAGTGCTTCGGTGAACATATGCATGCATGTGTCTTTATAGCAGAATGACAAAGGTTTTTCAATGGGGATAAAGTAAGGAGTTCTTCATCAGTTTGTGTTTGATAAAGCTCTGACTGCTAGCTACATGGAGAATGTATTGCAGGGAATGTAGAGTGAAGACAATAAATAAGCTGAGTGAGGAATGCTGGTGGCTTGGATTAGGGCACTGGCATTAGAAATTAGAGAAATAGATAGATTTGTGAAATTTAGGAAGTAAAACCAGCAAGATCAGCACTGTGAATACAGTATTGCATGTTAGAAAAAGAAGGATGTTCTATAGTACTACTATCCATGAAGCGATAGATCTTACAATAAAGAAGGAATCTAAGAAATAATGTCTCTGGATTATGAATTTGACTTAATTTATCAATTAGGTTTGACTACTTGAAAATAACCCATAATGGTAGGTAATTTCAACTCCCTGCCACCACAGTTACAGGTGGAAACTGTTATTACTGAATAATGGTGTGAGCATAAATGATGTTTGTCAAACTTGTGAATCTTAGGAAAACTCTTTGGACAAGTGAGTGAATATTAATTTAGACTTCATTGGAGAGTTCAAGTTTTTTCTCTTTCCATATAATCTATGTCATCTTTTTGGAAAAGGTGAAAACAAAAAAATAGATAATACAAAGTACTTCAAAATGCCAAAGACTACCCTCTGAGCTAGCTTGAATTCTATTCCTTCTATTTATTTGGATCAATTCTTATCCAAATCTGTGAGATTTGTATATTATGAGGGTGTTTTCTTTGACATCTTAAAGTTCAAAGATGTGTTTCAACAATCTTTAGAGTAGGTACTTATGGCATCACAGCTTAGCTTCTCAAAAAGCCAATTATAAGACACAGCTGTTACCATGCCAAATTCCTATATATTTGGTTTTAAAAAAAACTAATTCTACACCTGGCTGATGAAGTAAAGACGAACGTGATAGTATAAATGTACAGACACAAATCACTGCTTTAAGATTCCCTCTCTAGACCCACATAGTACATATCTGTGGTGTCTACCAGCTAAGCTTCTCTTCCTATATTCCCACCCAAATTCTTTTGGGGTACCTGCAACTCCCCCATTGCAAGCAGTCCTGGTAGGCTATCAAATAAAACACCTTATCTACCAAGCAAGAGATCCAGGACAGGCCAAACAGATGGCGTGCTCCAGGAATGTGACTCTTGGCGATTCCAAATGATACCAGGACATGTATGGTTGGAGCTACATCACTTCAATGGCAGCATCCTGAGGAGACTGTCATTACCGCAACCAGGATACCCAGAGCTGCCCCAACTTCTATTATTTCTGAGGCCTGTTTGTGCTTAGCTTTCAAATTTCAGTCTATGACCTGCTTCCCATAGCTTTCCAATCTTGTGTACTATTACATAAGTAGAAGCTGATTCTCAGATAAGACAAGTTGTCCAAAATCACACAGATAATAAATAGATGAATTAGGATTCACATCTCTGTTAGACTGAATCCACATTCATAATCTTAATAAATTCATTATACTGTTCCTATGATCACATCTCAAATGGAATTTGTAAAAAGCCCAGTAACATTTGTTTATTGCCTTAGCCTACCACTTAGAAATTACAATGAAATGTTAACTATATCTGCTATTTTGCTATTCGCAAGTGACAGATGACTTGGAAAGCATGTCCACTTTAGTCCTCTAAGCACATTTACATTTTCATATTGCCTTCACATGACATTTCTGTGGCTACACTTGCAATCCAGACTAGTCTTTCATCCTCTGTTGACAATGATCTGTTTCATTTTCAGAGAAAACTACCCAATAAGTCTCTTTAACGTTATGGATATAGTCTTTCTAAGGAATAGGAAGAAAATATTTTTTCATTGTCTTACAGTTTTTTTGTTTCAATGAATACATCACGTACCTGGTAAAGAAACCTTGCTACCGTCTCAACCTTTGCCAACATTATCATTCACAGAGATTCCAATGAGTGATACAAACCCTAGCAGCTTCAGCCTACAGCTTGGTGAGGTTGACTACAAAGAGCGCCCATCCCAGAGTTACTAGTACTCTTATTTTGCCATCTTTATTTTTGTCTCTGGAAAATGAATAAAATGTCAGCTTCAGTAGCAACATACTGTGGAATTCATAAAACAAAGGTCAGGTATGAAGAACACAGGAAACCAATGGTAGCAAAAGGAAACCCAATGCCTGAGCTGGCCATCTTGGCGAGTGGGGAAAACTAGAACAGCACTGAAAACCAAGCATAGTTAAGCCAGGATTGATGGGTAACAGCTGCACTTTGCAATTCACCTGCAATTCAGATCCAATTTCACATATTCTGCAAGCCCAAAAAAGGCCAATTATTGTTAAGTTTCTATAAGAGTTTAAACGGCCATGATTCATTTTTGTTTTCCTTTAGGAATTTTAGGACCCCCTAAGAAGTATTCTCTCTTCTACATATCATTTCTAGGCCTTGAATTTGAATGGAGCATCTGCTGAGTATAATGGACCTATTTGGCCTTTTATCTCATTTTTTGTGAAGCTAGTCAAATATGTATCCTTCCACTAGGGTCAGCATCGACTAGATGGACTAGGAAGAATTTCATTAGAAAATGAGATCTCATGGGAGACGATAAAGACCAGGCTTCCAAGACAGAGATGTGAGTTCAAGTCTCTGGTATTTACTAGCTGAAGGGCTGTGGGCAATCATGTTACCTTCTTGAACCTGCTCCCCCACCTCCCCCCACACACACAATATAGAAATACCTAATTTGTACAATTACGAATCCAAAATATTAAATTTAAATTTAAGGTTTTAGCACAATGGCACATAGGAATGACTATAGTGCCATTATTAAAAATCCAGTAAGTGCATTTATGCACCATATAATGTAGTATATGTTGTAAATTCAATAGTACATAATAGAATCATAGTCTCTAACCTCGGAGGTCTTACATCTAATGTTAATGACAAACCAAGAATAAATTCCAGTAAGGGGGTGAAAAGTGTTCTGATGATGGGGGAAATGCAGGTAATAATGAGTAGCTATTTTATTATTAAAAACGTAAAACACATGTACAGCAGAGTGGTCAAGAATCTAAACTCTATCATCAGAATGCCTAGGTGTGAGTCTCATGTCTGCCCATTACTTTCAGTGAGACTTTGCATAAGGTTATCCATCAGTGAAATTAAAATGATAATATTAACTATCTTAAAGGGTTTTCACAAGGATTAACAGAGAAAATATGTATCGTACTGAGAATGGTGCTGGAGATATACTAATCCTTCAATAAATATTACCTATAATTACCACCATTATGCCAATTCCATCAGTACTGAGCTATACAGAAATGGTCGACACCCTTCAGAATGTCTCCTTCTACACAGACAAACATCGCTTTATGTGTTTTAAGACAATCAAGCTATAACTAGAGAAAAATCTAAGGTATCTCTAAAGACACTTTCAACTCAGACCATTTATCTTTAATCAAAAATTTGGAAATTTTGATGTTAAAATTCTGAAATTATTTTGAGGGTACTATAGGGTCTTAGAATAAATAGAAGAGAAAAATAAACATAAAATGAGAGGAAGCACCCCCATAGTGCTGGATTTTAATGGAGGTATCAGCATCAATCCATGATTTAAAATATATGTATACATATTTTCCAGTCCTTTCTAACAGAAGGGCCTAGAAACAATGTCACCTGAGTAGCCATGAGCACACTTAATGCCCAGATCTTGGTTTCTAATTATCTTCTATTTAAATGAACCATATAGCTAATTCCAGATCTGAAGCAGGGAAAGTATGTTATGCCAGGAAATGAGGACAGCTTATAGATAAATAGGGTTATCTCAAAAGGGCAGAGACATCTGAATAAAGGGACTTCTGCTGTCAAATTGGGCAAATTTAATCAAAATGATATAATAAATGGATTCTAACACCTTGAATTAAAAGTGATCTCAGTTTACTAGATGAGAGAGAAACAGCAACAGACAAAAAGGGGCTAAAAAAATTGAGGAGAGGTAAAGTTCTTCCTTACAGAATAATGTCTGTAAATATATGTTGAAAGAACGACAAAAATAGAAAGCTAACATCTTATATATCCCATATTATAAATGACTCAAGCCAGAATCACCAACAAATGCTAAAACAAACAATTAGGGGAAATCTTATTGTGGAACAAGACATGTCTATTAATTCAAGTCACAGCAAACCTAGGAAAAGATTGACTGATATGTAGCCATGGTAATAAGTAGCATCCTGAATCAGATTAAAGTCTATTTAATTGGCACTTTCTAGTCAACCAATCAGTAACAGCCCTTTATTGCTAAAAGACAGCCAGTCAGCAACAGACTCATACATCTCTAAGTGCCAATTAAGCAACCTGCCCCACTCCTCACCTGAATCAACATGTTTCCACATATGTCAGCTTACTTACTTCTGAAAATCTACTTAACTCCATACTTTCCACTTTGGTCTACTCAGACTGAACTCGACCAGCATAGTTCTCCTTTACAATAAATTCAGCTTTGTCTTTGAATTTCAGATGAATGGTGAACTGCATTATCACCCCACTATATAATAATTAAAAAGAAAAAAACTGTGTCTTTTACAGTGGGGTAATCTGGCAGTCATCAACTAACCAAATGGTGAAACTTGGCATTGTCATTAGTGATGCCAATAGCCTGACAGGATGTACTGATGCAGAGGCAAGGGGACAACATAACCTATTTGGTGTCCTTGCCAAAAATGGTTTAAATGAACCGAATCAGGAGAAAACAATGAGATGGATCAAGATAGTAGGCTGTTGCATGGGCCATATGGCTTGGAATCTTCAAATAATTTAATGTCATGAATATCCAAGGGAGTTAGACAATTGATATATATTTTAAAATATTTAATAACCAAATGCAATTTATTAATTTATGAATAACCAAAAGCAATTTAGGAACCTTGACTGGATCTGTGTCATGGAGGAAAAAAAGCCAACTGAGAAAGCAAATTGAGAAAATCTGAATATGGAAAATATGATATTACTGAACTAATGTGAATTTTCTTGGGTGCAGTAAATGGGGTTAGTTGTGTAGGAATGTTTCCTTATTCTTGGAAAATGCAAGCTGAATTATTTAGGAGTAAAGCATCCTAACATCTGCAGCAGACTACTGTTTGTTAGAGGGTTTGGCACAAAGGAAGTGTCTACAGAGACACGGCACAGATATATCAAGATGTCAAAGTTAATGAATCTCAATGAGAGATAAACAGGTGATCACTGAACTGTTCTTTCAACTTTACTGAGGTTGAAATTTTTACATTCTATTTACTTTTATTCTGAATCTTATATACACAGACCACCCATGGAATTTCCCAGGTATTTTTCTTCAGCCTCAATTTCTCACTTACAGTAAAAATAAATGTGTTGTACTCTGTTTTTGTAAGTCAGCTCAAAACTTTATTGGCAGAAACAGTGGTCCAAATAAGCAAAGTTCAAAACATTTAATAATAATTTTCCCCTACATAAAAAAGGCAAATATTTTTCAGTTAAGGATAACAAAGATAAGATTCCCTTTGGAGTTTAAAATCCTCCAATCTTTCAGCTTTGTCCATGTCATTATCCTCAGCAAACACACACAGGAACAGAAAACCAAACACCACATGTTCTCACTTACAAGAGGGAGCTGAACAATGAGAACACATGGACACAGGGAACAATACACACTGGTGATATGGACAGGAAGCAGGAGGGAAGGGTCCCTGGTGAGGGTTCTACTCTCAAGCCTGGACCCATGGCCTTAAATGAGAATAGGCATGCTTGTTTTTGTGCCCAGATGTTGCCTTTTCCAAAACCACTCTGACCTGCCCTGCACCCTATCCTGTGCCCATAAGAACCCCAAACCCCACGCTCCATGAGCAGAAGAGCAGCAGAGCGGCAGAGCAGAGAACAGGAGAGAAGAGGAGAGAAGTGTCTGAACGTGGAGAGGACAAGAGGCAGCTGGACATCGGAGACTAGGTTGGGGAGAAGTTTGGCCAGGGACAGCCTTACTCCAAGGGAAGATTATCTTCCCACTCCATTCCCTTTCCAGCTCCCCATCCTGCTGAGATCCACTTTCATCACCCAATAAAATCCTCTGCACACACTACCCTTCAATCCATTTGTGTGACCTGATTCTTCCTGGATGCCAGACAAGAATTCAGGAGGCACTGGGTGTGGAAACCCAAAAAGGCTGTCACACTGACTCTTCACTGAGCTGGCTAACACTTAAGCTGTCTGTGGATGGCAAGGCTAAAAGAGCATTGTAACACACTTGGACGCTGCCATGGGGCATGCACAGGGCCTGCTTCTGCTGGAGAGAAGCAGCCAGCAGTTCCAGTGTTCCTTCACTCCGGTTCCCACACCCGTTTCCTTGCACGCTCCCTCCCGTGGGGAGTGGCCAGCAGTGGGCTGAGTAAAACTAGCAGCTTCAGTTCCTGCCAGCGAAGTGGTCAAGGGAGCTCCCGTTTCACTGGGGCCTGTCGAGGAGGTGGGGAGAAGGAGAGCATCAGGTTAAATAGCTAATGCATGCAGGGCTTAACACCAGGTGACGGGTTGGTAGATGCAGCAACCACCATGGCACATGTTGACCTATGTAACAAACCCACACATGCTGCACATGTATCCCAGAACTTAAAGTTTTAAAAGATAATAAAAACAAGAGTTATAAGTGGTGGAACAACAACAACGACAAAAATCCTCCAGTGTTTATCATAAGCCATTTTGCCTCCAATGTCAGTAAGACAACCTAGAAGTCTCTGAGAGGAGAGAAATCTTTCCAGATCCATCAGGAGACACAGAAGTCACATGAAAGCGTTCCTACAGACACATGAAAATGCTAAGGGTATCTTTGGACACTGAGGACTCTCCCACCAACAGCCACACTGACAACAGCCTTTGGTGTCTCACTCAGAGGAGTCCCTGGTGGGAAGCCAGGCTGTAATCTGTCACAAGAGCATGTGAGCAGAGGCCACCTTACTAGATAAAATGCAGCTGGTTACCGCATTCCCTGGAGGGACAGTGACCTCCGACAGACAAGGTGAGGCAGGCAGACAAAACAGTGGGCACCGCAAATGAACAGGCAGGCGCGGAGTGGTGCCTGGAGGAAAGCCTCTGACCTGGAGCCGAGGGAGAGCTGCTAGATAAACAAGCCATTATAAGAGGGTAATATTCCATCCTAGTGTGAGCGGAAGCTGGGAAGAAAACCAACTGTAGGCCTGATGTGGACTGCAGCTGGCAGGAAGGCTGCAGAGCTCGGTTCAAGGCAGGAGATCCTGCCCCTGTCCCTGGCACAGAACACAAACAGCACCACTGGATGTGGTGGGAGGAGGAGGAAGGAAAATCTATACATTTACGGGACGTGAAATGCAAGAAATTGAGGGAATTCGTCCAGGAAGGAGGAATGACACCATTAATATCAGTATTTATGGGCTTACAAGAAGATAAATGCATTTCAAGAGTAGCCTCACCCCAAAGAGAACTAACCACACAATTAAGATCAAGGCTACTGTCATAGACCTGGCTCTGCTTTGAAAAACAAGCTACAAAGGGAAGTTTGGGCTTTAATTTAAAAAAAAAAAAAAAATGTTCACGGAAATAAGAGAAACTTTAAGAAAACTTGTAGAACACAAAAATCACATTAGACTCTTCTATAATTCTCATAACAATAGAAACTTAACAATAATGGAGCTTATATTTGAATGCTTCATATGGACGAGAGAGAGTTTAAGCATTTTGCATATATTAACTCACATGATCCTCACAACAATTCCGCTGGGTAGATACTATTACCGCCCATTTGAAGCATAAGGTAACTGAAGGAAATCTAGGTTAAGTAATTCCCAGGGCTTGCTCTTGTAAGACAACTGAGCTTGGATTCACATCCAGGCCCTCAGCTGCAAAGCTTATATTCCTCAGCCCATGAATACTGCCTCTGGGTATGCAAAAATCACCTTTGCCTTCAGGAAATAAGGCTCACATTTTTAAGTGAACACTCAAGTTGATATAGTGGGGAAGGCGGGGAAGGCAGGGAAATCTGGAGCTGAGACAAAGGAGTGGGGAAACATACTATGGGTTCAGAGGACCTATCCACAAACCTGTTGGTCTCTGTACCTCTTCACGCTGTTGAAAAATTGACTACACCGAAGAGCTTGAATTTATGTGACTATATTTGCTGATATTTAATTCCAAGTTAGAACTAAGAAAATTCTAAAATATTTATTCATTTACTTAAAATAATAAACCCATATGTTAATGTAATATTTTAATAATATTTTCTAAAACAAAAAAACTAGTGTGAAGAGTGACAAATCTCTAATGAATGGCTTGATAGAAGATAATTGCATCCTTATTTCTGCTTCTGTATGCAATCTATCATGAGATGTCTTCGCTAAAGCATAGGAAGAAGTTGGCCTCATATAGACATATAGTTGGAAAAGGAACTACTTCACAAATTCTGCAAAGGTCTTGGGGACCTTCCGGGGCCCCAGGACCACTGGTCTAGAGAAAGGACTCTAGAGTTAGACCACCTGGATTTGAAACCTGGCTCTGCCACTTAATAGCTGTTTGGTCTAGATCGATTTAGCTCATATTATCTCATTCTCTCATCTATAAAATGGAGATACCAACAGTACCCACCTGATAGGTTTGCTCATGAGTGCTAAATTAATATTTATCAAATGCCTAGAACAATCTCAGAGCATAAATATTATATGTTAGATGAATAAATAAAATGACCTGGCTTTGCAAGAAGCATCTCCGCCAGAGTAACGTCTCTGTACTGAATTGTACATTCTGACAGCTGAGACAATGACAGGGATCACTTGAGCGAAAGTGATCAATTACACCCATGTTATAATAGGGATAATTATAATAGGAGCTTCAGTAAATTGAGAAATCAATTGAGATACAAACTTCGACTTCATGGGAGCTAAGAAAACATAATCATTTGAATCTCTACTCCTCTGAGGATGGATAGCAACATCCTTTCAAAACCCTTTCATGTTCAAAGTCACATCAGACAGGGGAAATTCTTTAATGTAATTTCTGTTGCATTTTGGCTATAAAAACATGTCGAGAAGTTGTTAAGCTGACAAATTCCAAGGTATCTCTTAATGACAAAAAGTGGGTGAATAGTTATAAAGGCTCAAGAGTTAATGTTATTTTAGGGTTAAGTTAAATATATTTTTACCTGTGCAAATTTTTATCTATTTCATTTTTAAAAATTGATAAAGGTCATTCAGGAGGTGATTTGAGAACACACAACTTGTTGTAGATATCTTTCTTATTTATATTATTGCCATATATGATGCAATACATGTAAAATTCTTCCATCCCATCCTACTATACCTTTCACATATTCTTTGACATTTTATTCCCTCCATCAAATATGAGTTGTCTTTTAGATAGCATCGGAATCATAGGATACTAAGTAGCTACTTCCTCTGTCTCTCTACACCCACCTCCCTAAAACTACAGGCGGCTGACCCACTGATATTACTATGAATTTTTTGCTCTTCATCAACGGTCAAAGGGTGGTCTTCAGTCCAATGGCCTGGTTAACTGGGAATTGCCATATATGGCTTATCATTTTTAAGAAATTACAATATTGCAGAAAGCATTTTATATGAAAATTATATTAAACATAATCTAGAATGTAAAACAGCACCATAACGTCATATTGAATATAGTACATTTCATGACTCAGAAGACACATTATAGTTGTGCCACAATCCCCAAGATCTGTCTTTTCAATATTACCCCTATGCAGGAAACATGTGAAACTAGCAATTAATAGTATAAAGACCAACTTAGGAGTTCTGTAAAGAAGTTAGTTAGAATGTGAAAACACCGCTGTGCTTCTAGAACCATACTGCCCGGTTCATCATGACACTCCTGGTCTCTCCATTTATAAACTTGGAAATACCATTCTTTACCTTCTTCAAGGGTGGCCAGGAAGATACAGTGAATTTTTAAAGCATGCCTATGAAGTTCCATGAACTTGTTGGTGATAGTGGACTAGCAAAATAAAAATTAGAAGAAAGAAAACTCATTCAAAAAAAATCACAAGAAAATACGCACAAATATTTAATCTCAGGATAGATTTTGCATAAAAGAACAGGAAAAACTCATAAATGACCAAGTTGACAAAACTATGACAAAATTTCTACATGTTAATAACATCTTAAAGAAACTGAAGAGGCTAGGGCCAAAAAAGGAACAATATTTGCAACAAATGTGACAGGTAGAGGGTTAATTCGTAAAAGATCTCTAACATATTGGGTTTTTAAAAATATCCCAATAGAAAAAGAAGCAAAGCACCTTCATAGGTAACTTATTGATAAAGGTAATGTATATATATGTTTAAAAGTTAACTCCACTAGCAATTAGATAATAAAATGTAAACAGTGAGATATGTAAAATCTATCAACTTGGAAAAGGTTAGGCCAAAACAAAAAACCTAATTCTTGAAGTTTATGAGATGTGTACCCCCATGCAGTGCTAGTATACAATAACTTCCGAATGTTCATCCATTTAAACACCACATAATATTATAGCAAGTAGTGATTCCAGTTTAAGAAATTTAGCAGAAACATTACCAAAGATCCTGTACCAAAATATTTGTTACACATATGTCGAAAAGTCAGTAATAACTAATAAATTATAGTAGATCCATATGGCACAATATTATACCATCGTTAAAAATTTCATTTATATGCAGGCTGGGTGCGCTGGCTCATGCCTGTAATCCAAGCACTATGGGAGGCAGAGGCAGGCAGATTGCTTGAGGCCAGGAGTTTGAGACCAGCCTGGCCAACATGGGGAAACTTCGTCTCTACTAAAAATACAAAAATTAGCTGGGCATGGTGGCCTGTAATCCCAGCTACTCAAGAGGCTGAGGCAGGAGAATTGCTTGAACCCAGGAGGTGGAGGTTGCAGTGAGCACCGAGGTGGCACCAATGCACTCTAGCCTGGACAACAGAGTGAGACTGTCTAAAAAACAATTATTTTTTACATACATATTAAAACGTCAGAAAAATGTCAACAATGAAGTAGGTTAAAATCATGTTATAAAGTGTTTCTCTTTTTCAAGAGAAACATGTAAGAACAAAGAAAAAAGTAGAAAGGAATAAACTGCAGTTTTGGCAAAGGTTATTTCTGGAAAATAAGATTATAGATGGTTTTTATTTTGTACAGTGGGCAGATATTCTTATGATTAGAAAAAATAAATGAAAGGTTTAAAAATGGGTTACACTTGATATAAACTAGACTGCAGCTTCATAGATATAATTTAAACAAAACGTTTATTTAGTCAAGCAATTCATTAGCTGGTTACTGGTAGACTGCATTAAAAACACCAAATAGTTTGAATATATTTACAGTTGGCCCTTGAACAATTAAGGGGCAAGTGATCCTGTACCACTCCCCATCTGCATAGTTGAAAATTCACATGTAACTTAACTTCCCAAAACTTAACTACTAGTAGACTATTGTTGACTGGAAGCCTTACCAATAAACACTTGATTAACAAATATTTTGTTTATGTATTATGTATTGTATTCTTAAAGTAAACTAGAGAAAATATTAATATTAAGAAAACCATAAGGAAGAGAAAAGACATTTACAGTATTATACTATATGTATTGATACCATAGCTTGACATCATCTATTTACAAGATGAATCATCTGTCTAAAACTGTAGGTACATATCAAGGAATTTAACCTTTTCTTGTAACATCATGGCTTTTCTCTGCTTCTTGGGAGCACGTCCAGCATCACTAGTGACCCTTCATGTTAGTCCCATGGTACTATTCCAGGTTTATGGTATGCATCACACACAAAGAAAAATGAGAACCATGAGAGATCACTTTTTACTGTGAAACAATTTACTGGAGTGACCATCAGCTCAGAGATGATTAGTGTCCTGAGGAGTTTTAAACAGATACTCCCAACACTTGAGCTCACCCCAATAGCAATACAAGGTGGCTACAAATTTCTTATAGTACAGTATGTACTATAGTTAATTTTATGCATTTATGATTTCATACACCATCTTTATATTTCTTTATATTCCTCTCAACTGCAAGTGGCACCATGTCCAGACTGTGTTTGTGTGCCTACGTTTCGATAAATTTTAGGCTTGTTTGTGTTTATGGTACTAAATGATAGAACAGACTAGTATCTACATATATTAATGACATACATTTATTCTTTTTTTAGATATTTCTAGCTAGTTTTTTTTCAAATTGTCACAAATGTCCAAAAAATTTTTCTAATATACTTATTGAAAAAAATCCACAGAAGTGGACCCACACATTTCAAACCTGTGCTCTCCAAGGATCAACTGTAATTCCTTTTCTCCATAACATTTCAGTAGTATCAGAACTACATTAATGCTCCGTACCTCCTGTGTACGGATTATATCAGGAGGCTGAGCTGTGGATGAAAGAGATTTTAAAAAGAAACAGTAGTGTGATTTGAAACTAAATAAAAGAGAAACATCTCGTCTAGAGAGCATGTCAGTCCTAGTCCAAACCTTTCCAGCATGTACAGGCTGAACACTCCAAAATGAAGGTCTACTGCTTATTGCTGAATTGTTGGTAGTCTCAATGACCCCAGGATTGCAGAGATGCTTCACTTTCAAAAAAAAAATCCATTAAAATTAGTTCAAAGAGGACACTAACATGGTGTTAGAGGGTCATTTTTCAATGTTGTGGGTGGAGGAGCGAGACACTTAGAGTAACTCCCATTATGGTTAATGAGAGTTGAGCATCTAGACTCATCTAAACCCCCTGAGGGTTTAATTTAAAACCACTATGGCAAAGCAACTCTAAGCCATGAATGAACAGCAGCATTTTTCACACACCTACCTCTTCCCAAGTACCAAAAACAGTAGAAATAATAAAGGTGAGTTTGTTTGGTTGGGTTTGATTTTTACTACCATGCCTCATAGAAGAGAAAAAAAAAGGAAAAAGGCTCATATCAAATGCCTATAAATTTTTTGGTTTATTTTAAATCCAGGGTGTTATTTTAATGCCATTTTTAAATGACTAATTTAAACTTGAGTCTGGGTTTTTCCAGTTGCTATGTGATGTTCACATAGAAATGCAGTATTTTTTTAAATTCCATTTAAGCTTCAGTTTTACAAATTTAGGGCTACCATTATATAATGTCCATTCCAAGACCCATGCTCTTGATCAACCTTAAGGCATCAGGATAATGGACAATAAAAAAAAAATAAGTATTATTATTATTTTTTGAGGCGGAGGCTTGCTCTGTCTCCCAGGCTGGAGTGCAATGGCATGATCTCGGCTCACTGCAAGCTCCGCCTCCCAGATTCACGCCATTCTCCTGCCTCAACCTCCCGAGTAGCTGGGACTACAGGCGCCCGCCACCACACCCAGCTAATTTTTTGTATTTTTAGTAGAGACGGGGTTTCACCGTGTTAGCCAGGATGGTCTCGATCTGCTGACTTCGTGATCCGCCCACCTCGGCCTCCCAAAGTGCTGGGATTACAGGCATGAGCCACTGTGCCCGGCCAAAAGTTATAATTATTATACCATGCTTCCAATATGCCAAATTTATTCATTCTTCTGACTTCCATATCACCTTGTTTTAATTCTCTCACAAGAGCCCAGGAGGCAGGCAAATACCTGTTTTCATAGCAGAAAATACCTTTATCTTCACATGAGCAAATCAAACAAAAAAGAATAAATGACCTAAGTTTCCCCATATGGGACTAAAATACATTTCTCCAATTCCCTGTCCAAAGCTCATTTGCAGTTTTGACAAGTACAAATGTTTTGTACCCAAAGACAGTAAATGAGGCAGTAGAGCCATTGGCAGGCAGAGCTCTTTCTTCTCCCATGTACATTCAACAATACCAGAAACAGGACTGAGAGAGCCTTGTAACCATCATTTCCATGGTTTGAGTTTTGTGGTAGGGTCAGGGAAGGCCTCTGTGTGTAAGTGATGACAAGGGAACAGGAATTGAAAGGAGGAAAACCAGGGACCCTGTGTAGGTCAGAGGGTGGCAGGTGAAGGTCAGAGGAATGTCAGATTTTACTTTAAGTGAAAGAAACAGCAACAGCAACCAGAAGTTTTTTTTTTTTTTTTTTCTGACACAGAGTCTTGCTCTGTTGCCTAGGCTGGTTGTGCAGTGGCACGATCTGAGCTCACTGCAACTTCTGCCCCCCTGAGTTCAAGCAATTATCGTGTCTCAGCCTCCTGAGAAGCTGGGATTAAAAGTGCCCACCAGCACACCTGGCTAAGTTTTGCATTTTTAGTAGATACAGGGTTTCACCATGTTGGCCAGGCTGGTTTCGAACTCCTGACCTCAAGTGATCACCTGCCTCAGCCTCCCAAAGTGTTGGGATTACAGGCATGAGTCACTATGCCCAGCCAGAAACAACCATAATTTCTTAATGCAAAGGAACAACCTGTTCTTGTTTCTGTATTTTTAAAAATCTATGTCAGCTACATAGTGGTAGACTGGAGGATGGATAGTGGTAGACTGGAGTTGCGGGAGTGATAAACAAGGAAACCTGAGAGCTCACTGCACCCAGTTCAGACAAGATTTGGCAGGAGTAGTAGAGATGTTGAGTACCAGACTCAGAACATATTTTTGAGAAACAGCCTCCATGTGCATTGGAAGGATGTTTTGAGAATGCTGTCAATTACATATTCTGGCATCATCTCCTTGAGGAAGAATTCACAGAAAATCGCCTGATCTCTGGTGTTGTGCACATTTCTGCATTTTTCTGAACAATCAGCCTATTTTTACCTCAAGAATTGATGCTCTTTCCTTATTTAGGTTGGTGATAGAAAGTTCAGGGCCAACTTTGTGACCCATCTGTTTTTGTTGGTTTTCAGGCTGCTAAAGACACACCCAAGACTGGGTAATTTATAAAGAAAAAGAGGTTTAATAGACTCATAGTTCCACGTGGCTGGGGAGGCCTCACAATCATGGCAGAAGTCAAAAGGCACATCTTACACGGCAGCAGGCAAAAGGAAAAATGAGAGCCAAGTGAAAGGGGAAACTCCTTATAAAAACAGCAAATCTCGTGAGACTTATTCATTACCACAAGAACAGTATGGGGGAAACCATCCCTGTGATTCAATTATCTCCCACGGGCTCCCTCCCATAACACGTGGGAATTATGGGAGCTATAATTCAATATGAGATTTGGGTGGGCACACAGCCAAACCATATCACTATCTCTAGCAAGTATATAAATATTTTATATCTATTTGATGCACTAATCTCACTTTTGGTCCATCTTACTTTCCTTTTACTACTTCTTGAATTTTGTAGTTTGCTTTTTTTTAAAGCACTTAAATCTTACTCTACTTTTTCATAGTCACCTTAAATCATGTTTTAAAAATTCTAGGAAATAAATGAATAAACAAACTAAAATTGTCTAATGGAAATTTCCTTGATTATTATAGAAATAATAAATCAGAAGAAGGTTTCATCAAAGGGATCATCAGAAAGAAATAGAGATCTACAAAAGGGCATGTTATGTAAGGCAACCTGTATGCATGGGAAGCCAAGATGATAAAGCCATAAAAACTTGACTAAACTGAAGAAATTGCTTACAGAGCTGCTCCAGACTTCCTGAGGAAGGCAAGACAGTGGCATATACAATCTTGGGAAATCAAATCTCATGAGCCGACGAGTTATCAAACCCTTCTGTTAGATTTCTCTCAGCTGAGGAAATAACTGATTTCATCAGCCTGGCTGGAATCCACATGGAAATCTATGAAACCTGTGCTGGGCATGGGAGGGGTTGAGTATTTTTCATGCTCAAACCACCTGTTACTTCTCTCTCTTTCAAAGCAGGCCACTTTGGAATGATGAATATTAGTTATGTCTCCAAGCATGTGTTCATGTGTGTTAGGTACATAGAAATCCTGGTTGACACTATGTTAACCATTGCAGTATACTGCCTGGTGTGAGAACTTACCACATTATTCTACTTGTTAAATGAGGACCGTTGTCCTCTTTTATCTTTAGAGCTAAAAAGCCAACATGGTCAACCAGGGTCACTCATCTAGCAAATATTCATTTAACAAATATTTACTGAACACCTCCTATGAGCCTGGCCCTGCCCAGGCAGAGGAGATGCATTCATGAATAAACCTGAGAATCATCCCTGCCCTCAGAGAGCTCACATTCTAGTCAGCCTGAGACACACACACACACACACACACACACACACACACACACACACACACACACAAATAAATTATATAATAATTTAGTGTATAAACACTACAAAGGAACGTCATGTGGTAGGGGTGCAATTTTAAGATAATGGGAAAGACTATTCTGTGACATTTGAGCACAATCTAAATAGAGGTCTGAAGGAGTTGAGTGAACATAGCATATGTACATCTGGGGAATTGGCATTCCACGAAGAATAAACAGCTGCTGGTTCAAGGGCTATGAGGCAGCAGTGTGCTTAGAATGTTAAACAAACAACAAGGAATCTAGTGTGGTTGGATCTGAGCGAATGTGGGGAGCTTTGAAAGTTGTATGTAGCTGCTGTAACAAATTACCATAAATTGGTGGCTGAAAACAATAGCCATTGATGCTGTCATGGTTTTGGAGGCCAGCGTGGCATCCAGGTGTCAGCAGGGCCACGCTCCCTCTTTGCTGCTCCAGCTTCTGATGGCTGTCAGCATTCCTTGACTTGTGACCACATCACTCCAGTCTGCCTTCACGATCATGTTGTGTCCTCCTTTTCTCCATGTAATCTCCCTGTCTCACTCTTATAAGGACACTGCCATTGGATGTAGGATTTGCCTGGCTGATCCAGGATAATCTCCCCACCTCAAGGTGAGATACTTAACTCACACATCCACAAAGACCCCTTTCCTAATAAGGTACCATTCACAGGTTTCAAGGATTGAGATATGGACATCTCTTTTGAGGGATCCCCATTCAACTCACTACAGGAAAAATGGTAATAGATGAAATCAGAGGGGCAATGGTTGATGGCAGGGGGTGGATGGAGGAGTACAAGTAGGAACCTTGTCAATCACTGTGATAACTTTGGCTTTAGTTAGAAGAAGGTAGGAAGCCACTGTGGGGATAATGAGAGAAGTGACATAGATTCAACAAGTCTTAACAGGATCACTCCGGCTGCTGCCATGCAAAAAAGTTCCAATAGCATTTAATCCTTACATTGATACTTTGTTGGCTTAAGAGCATGCCAAATTTAGATTAGAAATGAAAATGAGAAGAACCTGATATACAGATCTTCAGAAAATATTTAATAATTAAAAGAATATTCCTCTACCTAACCATCCTGTTTTGAACCAAAATTAAATTTATCCCATAAATATTTATCAACCATCTAATATACACAAGATTCTGACTCTAAGAATTGAAGGGATCACACCCTACCTAATGTGGTATTGACTGACAACCCCTTTTTTTTAAGATTTATGTCATCTCTTTGTGTAAACAATAATTGAAGAATCTCAACTTAGTGGGAGAAAGACGTGCTACCATTATATTCTTTGCCATTACTTTTCCAGCCACCCTATGTTGAATCCCTTTCTGGCTCTTTAATAATATCTTGGGCAGAACGTATAACTATGTAGTCACTTTCCATAATTGTAAATCTCTCCATTTTAAAATTCTAGTCTTGGTTCTTTTAAAATTTTATATCCTATCAAGCACAGACTTGAGATGCAACTTTTATTACTTAGAGCTCTCTACAAGTGTTCCCCCATAGTGAGGCTAAGCTATGCTAGCGTTAAAGGCAGAGTGGTCTTAGGTATCAGGTTGCCTGTCAACAGGTGACAGGTGGCCAGGTGTGGTGGCACATGCCTGTAATTCCAGCACTTTGGGAGGCTGAGGTAGATTGCTTGAGCTCAGGAGTTTGAGATCAGCCTGAGCAACATGGTGAAACCTTGTCTCTACAAAAAATGCAAAAATTAGCTGGGCGTGGTGGCCCACACCTGTAGTCCCAGCTGTTCAGGAGGCTGAGGTGAGAAGATCACTTGAGTCCTGGAGCTCAAGGCTGCAGTGAGTCAAGGTTGTACCACTGCACTATAGCTTGGATGACAGAGTGAGACCCTGTCTCAAAAACAAAAACACAAAATGAAACACACAACACATACACACACACACACACACACACACACAAACAGGTGACAGGTAAGTGTCCCTGGTCTAGCTCCAGTTCCATCTGCTGGGAGCCTCTGCAAATACGGTAGTCTGCACTGGTGAATTAACAGACATGTTTTTTCCAGGAAGGTAGTAAAGTCTCGCCCCCGTTTGTTTCTGAGGATCCATTTACAAAAGGACAGCCATGTCTCCCTTTTAGGTCTGCCGGTGTTCCATGACCCAATCCCCTCTCTGGAGAGGCCAGCACCTCAGTTGGCCCAGCATCTACCTGAGCAACCTAGTGGTGCCTGCCTCCTACTCGGACATTCATGGTCATTTACAGGAACCGGGGGACCTGCTGAGGTTGGTGCTTCTGGGCTTCTTCAAAGGGCTACCGAAAAGGTGAAATAGTGTAGAAAAGTTGTTCTCATCTTTTTTCCCAGGAACACTACTCCTCTTCAGTGACTTCTTGCTCTGCTACTACAGGCCTCTCCAACAAGCCTCCCCTGCCCCACCCTACATTCAAGAATGCAAAGATGAGAAGCAAGCACTCTTGTGTGCTCATGTACAATTCCAAACTCCACAGAGCACATGGGAAGCTCTCCAAAAGCAATTGTACCTCCCTGCACTCCCAGATCATGACAGTACCTGTGTCAGCCTGCAGGTCCTACAGCTTCGTAGCATCAAGCCAAAGAACAAGATGCCAGTGTCATTTTGTGGAAAGCATCCCCCAAGAGATGTGACTTTTGAGGCAGTGGGAGTAATTATTCCAGAAGAGGGAAGAAGAAAGCATCCCTACACTCCTCATTTCAACTGTCGATCTTTGTCCTCACGTATCCTCTCCCTTTGCGGTTTGGGGGCGTGGAGGTATGTTTCAGTGAGGTAGGAATGGTTCTGCTGCTGCCTCTCAGTAATGTGGATGTGGGGAGCATCTGTCCCCACATGTCAGCATTCCTGCTTAGGCCTTAGCTGTTTATTCCGCGGAAATATGAAAAGTTTCACTCAACATCTGCTGCACTCCTGAACTTCAATTACATTACTGCAGATATGACTCCCTGAGAGATGGCTTCTAGAGTCATTTGGTCCCTAAACAGAATAGAAAATACTAACTGGTATTCTAGGCCTCTGCATGTGAAACACTCTAGATTTTCATGTAATTCCTGTTGATTTATTTTTATCTTGACACATCTTATTTAACAACTATTAAAGCAATCATCTTTGGTGAATGGAAGGGTATCATGGCTAACTTTTAAAGTATTAGCACGTAAATCTCTTGAACTGAAAATTAATCTTAAAGATAAAAAGAAGTTCTTGATAACTTCAGGCATTTCAAAACCTATCAGAAAGGAGAAAAATTGGAGAGCCAGATGAATTTAGCTCCTCCTGGACCCATTTTATCTCAGAGCAAATTATGCGGCTAACCAAGCTAAACTGCCTGGCCCCATATAGATGGCAGTGGAGAGTAAGGCTTAAACCTTCTAGACTTTCAGAAGTCACTAAGGTTGGTCTTATTCTTAAATGATAATGAAGCTTACAATAAAATAATAAAGCCACTAACAGCAAAATGCCCATAAAAATATAAATGGCAGAGTAAAGATTTAGGAAAATACAACACTAGAAAGTGGGGCTAATGGGAAAGGTTTAAACTCTAGGGAGAAGAACTTCTCAGGACACCCACCCCACCGTACATAGAAGTTTGCAGCACATGTGAAATGTAACTGGAGAAGGTGAAATGAACAATGGAATGAGAATCAAAAGTCCTGGGTAAAGCCCAGACTCCCATGAACTAGAGCCACCATTGGTCTGTGCCTCAGCTTTTCCATTCAAACCACTCATAGGCCAATGAGGATAGAACAATTTTTGTTTCAGAAAGGTTCTTGCTCTGCAGCCCAGGCTAGAGTGCAGAGGTGCAATCACAGCTTACTATAACCTTGAACTCCTGGGCTAAAGCAATCCTCCTACCTCAGCCTCCCTAGTAGTTAGGACTACAGATGCATGCCATCACACCTAGCCAATAAACTTTTCTTGTAGAAAAGGGTCTAGCTATGCTGCCTAGGCTGGTCTGAAACTCCTGGTCTCAAGTGATCCCCCTGCTTCAGCCTCCCAAAACTCTGGGATTACAGGTGTGCACCACTGTGCCTGTGTGAAACAAAATATTGACTCCAATAATGCATTGTTAGTCATAAAATATAATTTTAATTATTTAAAATTATCTTAATGTAAGATATTAGTTATATGTATATAAATATACTCTCCACTGCCACAGTTACCCCAAACACATATACAAAAGGAAAAGAAAGGAAGGAAGGAAAAAAGGAAGGAAGGAAGGAAGGAAATTGCCTCAGTATCCCCCATGCTACAAGTAAGCTTTCCCTTAAACCACTATTAGGAGGCTAAGTTCAGTGTGAGGAAGATGACCATTTGATACGAAGAAAGAGTTCTGTTGGTCTTAATTAATCAGCTAACCTACAACTATGCTTGACTTAATTGGTCTTGAAGAACAAAGAACATGCTTGGTCTTAGGAATATAAAGGAGCTTCTTCCATCTGTTTTTCTCCCTCTAAAATCTCCCTCTAAAATCTACTGAGACCATGTGCATTGGCATGTCTATTCCTGTTATTACAATATTGAAATACACAAGTATTACTTATTACCCTTGCGTGCTGCTCACCACCTCTTTTCTTCCTCCCCTGGGACTCTCCAGACCTCCCCACAATGCACAAATTAATAGGCTGATGTCTGGCACAGTAGAGAGCTTTCAGGAACCACCTTTGACATTGGTCAGTACCACCTGTCATACTAATTGTTACACATAAACATAACTCCACTGCCTAAGACATATCCACCCATATCCTGACCCCCAAATGCAGGCAGATACAAGCTAAACCAAGGCTCCTGAAATATATTTAAAGCCTGTAGTAGAAATCTCACAAAGATAGTTTAGATTGCAAACTACTTCAGATATCTGGTATTGTAGAGGTTTTTAAGGATAAGTCCAATGTAGGATTTGTGCCCAGAAGCTATTTGCAAATTTATGGTTATTTTTTCAGTTAATTAGTTTGAGAAAGGAAATGGCAGCTAAGTAAATAAATTAGATCATTAATTTGCAATAAATATAAATTAATTATGCTAATTCTAAGAGTTGAACACATATACGTATTTTGTATATATAATAAAAATAAGGAACATACATAAGACTATTAGGAGAGGAAAGCTACCTTGACTGTTGTAAAAAAATCCACGTATATGTACTCAGTAGATTTTAACAGTTTTGATATGTGCATGAAATATAAAAGAATAAGTAACTACCTACTGATGTTCAAACAAACCTATTTTCATTCCAAATGGAAATTAGAATATATTCTGCATTATTTGAGTTAATTACATGACACTTCTTATAAATAATGATGTATTATTATTCCATTCATTACTTCTAATTATATTCCTTAGCAAGTGCGATGCCTGCAACACCATGACCAGTCTTTTCCTGTTCCTTAAAATCTGATGACTTGCATGGAAAGCAGGTCAAAAATATGCCCAGAATATAACGAACAGAGTTCAGTGATTGTTAACCATGACAGTTTAAAACTACTTGAAAAAGTTACTGTGGAAATAAATAGAAATGGTGAACAGCTTTCCAAATTACAGGATACCCATGATAGCAACATAAGAAATATTTGAAGTGTTGTCTAGATACATATAATTATCATTCTACCATTCACTAGAATTGGAGAAAGAACACCCCTAATATCCCTCTCCCCCAGCATACATACACATTAACAGAATTACATTCTGTGTAGATCCGCAGATCGTAAAGATACACATTTCTGGTTGCAAAAGTGACTCTACAGCCTTTATGCAATTCTGAGAAATGTACCTGCTAAAAGTCCTAATCAAAATGACAGTTGAATTTTTCTCCTGTAATGCATAATCAGGTCAGGCCAGCCCACCCCATCCCATGCACAGCACGGTCTGGGGCTAGAAGGTAAAACATAGTATGGAAGACAGGTCAAGATCAAGGAAAGACAGTTAAAACTATCATTAAGCAACAGGGACCTAGTAACCCACAAGGCTACTTTGTACATACATATCCTCACCAGAGAGCAGGCAGCAAGGAGCCAGAAGAGTCAAGGAAGAGAAGGCAGATAGCAGGAAGTAGTCTAGATGAGGTCTAGAGACCAACATGTACATGCCTCAGGAACAGTGTTTCGTGGGTATGTCACCTTCATTTTGAAGGGGCCAGGGCAAAGTGCACAAAGTCCACACATTTTTCTTCATCCAATTTCAAACCTTCCTTGCACACATACAAAGTACCTACTTAATTCCTTCAGCATCAGCTTCCAACAATCCATTGTTCTGTCTATGATAAAAAATAAAGATGTCAGTCTCGGCTCCAGAAACAAAAAATAAACTTGGGAGAGGAAGAGACTAGCAAGGAGGGCTTCCCCTTCCCCTCTAGTGCCCATCACAGTTACTGCCTTCTGACCCCACGTGCAGCCTGAGTCCTCAACCTTGGCAGCTCACTACCAACTGATCAGCTGGTATGTGAGATAAAATGAATTTGTTTTCTGCATTGTAATTCTTTAGATGGCAAGTCAAGATGGATGATGGTCACAGCAAGTTTGTCTTACAATGGGAGTTGGCAGGATTCTCTGTGGTGGATTTTAGACACTGAAAAAAGATGTTGGTCAACTTTGAATGATGACAGCATCCAATAACTTCCTTTGTTCCCATTGTCCAGTGCTATCAGAAGCTGCTTGTAGCTGGTGGCCATGTACTCTAATAACCCAAGGGTAGGTGCACATTCATATGGAAACCTTTCCCACAGAAGTAGGAAAAAGAAAGGTCCAACTTAACAGTCACTGCTAAATGCATGTCTTTGAACACAATAATCTGCCAAATGAAGTCAAGAAAGAAATGTGACCACAAGAAAACCAACTTGCCCCACTACAATGGACAGCAATATTGTCTTTGAACATTTCTCCTCCAAAAGCTCTTAAGCTGGCTAATATACAACAAGCATGCACAGAGCAAAGACAAGACATGTGCTTAGGGAAATTTTAAGAGCAAAAACCTATCTTTAGCTATAAAGATATTAAAATAGTGCTTGTGCTCATTTTACTTGTACAGGAAGGTTTGAAAAGAACTCTTTTTTTTTTTTTTTTTTTTTTGAGACGGAGTCTCGCTCTGTCGCCCAGGCTGGAGTGCAGTGGTGCGATCTAGGCTCACTGCAAGCTCCGCCTCCCGGGTTCACGCCATTCTCCTGCCTCAGCCTCCCGAGTAGCTGGGACTACAGGCGCCCGCTACCACGCCCGGCTAATTTTTTGTATTTTTAGTAGAGACGGGGTTTCACCGTGTTAGCCAGGATGGTCTCGATCTCCTGACCTCGTGATCCGCCCGCCTCGGCCTCCCAAAGTGCTGGGATTACAGGCGTGAGCCACCGCGCCCGGCCGAAAAGAAACTCTTTAGAGAAATGAAAGATCACTAATAACTGCAGTTTCCTGAACAATTAAAGGAATTCACAAGATTACAACCTACTGAGGAAATGACAAATATTTCTGATTTTTATGGAAGGACTAAAAGGGCGCTTTTATGTATAGCATCTATTCTGTAAGAATCACTGTTAAGTAATGAAGCTATTTTTATTATTTTTCCACTTATTTCAGGAACACTCAACATGGTAACGGTCTGAAAACGGGGGAAACTTAACATTGCTCTTTGGAAAGTTAATATTCCGTATTAAAAGATATTTGTCAGAGTTTTCTTTTTTACCTTTTGAATTTGGATCTTGGAGCACTGTTTGCATGGTAGCCAACTTTTTATTTCTAATGTGTCAGCAGAAATGTTCTTAAAGTTACCTAGTCTAATTCTCTCACAAATATACTTTGTAAGGCTGTCCCTACATGCATCATCCTAATGTTGTATGGCCCTGGTAACATTCTGCGTGAGATGGTCTTGATTGGAAAAATCTGCTCTTTTTAATAACTGATTCAATAAACTGTTGACGTATGATTTGTAGAATACAGTATGATCAGTGAGCAAGGTTTCTGTCATTACACACCCTATTCAATTCATCCACAAATGTTGCTGTGTCTCCCTCATGTTGCAGCTCCTTATGCCATTCAGAATAGCAATGCAGAGATCAATACACTCTCTGCTGAAGACGACAGAACAAATGAATAATTTTATTTACAATGAAAGCCCCAGTCTTCAAATGGATACCACTAATGTTTAAATTCATTTTCATGCTCAACTCAAGAAGAGAGATAGACACAGCACAAAGCAAAGGGAGTGGGGGTAAGGAGAAGTATTAGCCATAATGGTTCAAATTTATTTAAGCCATGAACAATAGCTGGGCTGCACTGAGACACAGGAATAAAATGTTTGCTGCAGAATTCTGAATGTGTACTCTTCAAAATGATTCTGTCACCAAGAAACTCTGAAAAGCATTTTCCAGTAACAAGAAATTAATGGATTAAAGACATTCTGACATATTCTTCTAAGCGTTGCACCACAGAAGCCAAAGCCTGTTCAATAGGCTTTAAACAGTGTTGGCAAGGAACAGAAGCGTTTGCTTCAGGTGGGAACAAGGAGGGACTGAAGTGGCTGTTTTGAGAATGAAGCAAACGATCCTGCTTCAAAAGCGTATCTTTGGCCTCTGATTTGACAGTTCTTTTTCTTTCTCTGAAAGCTATGAAAAAGTCAGTGAGCAAAGTCATAAGAAATAAGTGTTGGTGAGGGGCAGCAAAATGTTATAAGAGAGACAAGTTCAAAGATGACATTTACAAGCCTCTCATGAATGGCACACTCCCCAAAGGGCACCTGAATGCCATTTTTAAGAAGAAGTCATCAAACATACAAAATAAAATGTTCCATTTTACATAAAGATGCCAATATACTGCCCTTAAAACACAGATTGGTCCATTCACAAATTAACATGTAAAGAAATGGCAAAGAACCTTCTCCCATCTGCCATCAATTCATTCACTGCTTTTAGATTTAACTCCCTACACTCACACGCTTGTAAACAGAATTGTAATGGACAAAGGATGAAGGGGAAGCTGGGAAAACCTAGCTTGGACATGATACTGAAACATCTGGAAAAAAGTGGTGACAAGACTTGGCCTTGGGGATGGGAAACGGGAAAAGGTGGGATTTCGGCACATCCTGTCTCTCTATTCTGTTAACTGGAACAATGCATATACTCCTGATGTTTCCAGCTTCACTTTAGATTCAGTGAACACAGTACATTTGGATGCTAAGAAAAAAGAGATGTGCAAGAGCAGGTCTCGTCCATAGGAAGCAAAGACTCAGTGCAGACAGAAATAGGGATGCACGTACTTTGGATATGAGGCAGACTGGGCTGTGTGTTTGGTCTTGGTACCTGGAACAGAGTATGAGCTCAGTAATAAAGTACTGAATGAATCAACATGAGAATAAGGAAGTGAGTGTCACAAACAGAGGACAGAGTTTTGTTTTGTTTTCTTCCCTAGGAGCAGGGGACAGTTATCAAAGCACTTCAGATGAAATGAAAAGCATGGGGAGGAATCTCCAGTTGAGGTGAGGGGCAGGAGAAAGTATAGTAAAGGGATAGTACAACACATATTCAGGGAACAGCCGGAAAGAAGGGAGACTGAGCCAGTACAATGAAGGTCCTTAAAAACTATTCTAAGGAATTTGGACTTTATCCTCAAAAAACAGACATTCCTTATTGGTTTATTAACAAGGGAAGAGAAGAATGATATGGTCAGGGCTGTGGTTCAGATAAAGTTATAGGCTACATTGGAAAAGCCCAGAGGCAGGGAGACAGCATAAATCTAGATGAACCACACCTAAGGGCTAGACTAGGGCAGGCAGGAGAGAACACTGGAGGAAGATAAAAGCCCACTCCAGACATCTCACCATTTATTTATGAAATGTTAGTGGACAGAGCTATCCACATCTTCCATTCTCAAGTCTCAGGACAAAAGACTAGAGCTTTCTGCAAGCAAAGGAGTACCTTATTAAGATGCGTCTCCCAGGCCGGGCGCGGTGGCTCACGCCTGTAATCCCAGCACTTTGGGAGGCCGAGGCGGGTGGATCATGAGGTCAGGAGATCGAGACCATCCTGGCTAACAAGGTGAAACCCCGTCTCTACTAAAAATACAAAAAAAAAAAATTAGCCGGGCGCGGTGGCGGGCGCCTGTAGTCCCAGCTACTCGGGAGGCTGAGGCAGGAGAATGGCGTGAACCCGGGAAGCGGAGCTTGCAGTGAGCCGAGATTGCGCCACTGCAGTCCGCAGTCCGGCCTGGGCGACAGAGCGAGACTCCGTCTCAAAAAAAAAAAAAAAAAAAAAAAAGATGCGTCTCCCAGTTGTAACATGGCAGAGTTTATAAAGGTAAAGTAAAATAAAAAGTTACAAAATCATCACATAAAAAGCATTGTCTGAATACACTGTCTACTGGCCCTGAGACTGTTTTAAATACTGCAGCTGTTAATTAGACTTATAGAGTATAATGATTTTAAAAAAGCTCTGGTTCTCATTGTTCTTATAATCAGAGAGGGTTGGATCCTTCTTGCTACCTTCCAAACAAACTGAAGTGTGTTAATTTTAATAAAATATTCTCCGAGCCCTTGGTATTTACTCAAATATAAAGTAACTGAGCAGGGTTCATTTCCCAAATGGTGACACCAGTGCCATCTACAAAGAAACGAGTTGTCATTCACTACTTGCTCACTATTCACTACAGATATTTTCCTAGACATAGACATTTCTACTTTTCTTGAGTTCAAACTCAGGTATGCCCTGGTTTTAGACATCACTTTTTCTGAGTTTGTTAAAAAGTCTGAAATATCAAATTACTCTCAAGATATGAGTAAAAAAACTACAAAGCAGAGTTCATTCCATTATTAACCATTTTAAAAAGTGGCCAACATGGCAAAACCCCGTCTCTACTAAAAATACAAAAATTAGCTCAGTGTGGTAGTGCCTGCCTGTGGTCCCAGCTACTTGGGAGGCTGTGGCACAAGAATCGGTTGAACCCGGGAGGCAGAGATTGTACTGAGCCAAGATTGTGCCACTGCAACTTAGCCTGGGCTACAGAGTGAGACTCTGCCTCAAAAGGAACAACAACAAAAAAAAGTGGTACATCTCTGTGACCTCTAATTTTCATAGGAATGAGAGTGAATTTAGACAAATGGATCTTGTCTAAATTCATATTTTCATCCCAGGTCCCTTTATTTCTTTTCTAAAAGTCAGTTAAAGCTGGCACCTAGAGAGAGATGGCATTTAAACCATATTCTTTTAACACCTGAATTTACAGACATTTTGCTTTAAAAAACCCCAAAGGAAAAAGCCCACTACAAACTTATAGCAAAATAAAATGTTACTTCAAGAAATTCAGGTCTTTTAAAAGATTTCAATACACAATTGGTATTAAAATTAAAAGTGCTGTTTTCTAGGGCTTTTCTAAATCATTCTAGTGTTTTTTTTTAATAAACAGAAGAAAATAGTTTTCTAATATTATTTAGACTCATTTAAAAGAAGAGTTTTAAATATTAAGAAAAGCTTACATATTTACTAGAGTATTGCTTATTAGTTTTCTAAATTAATACAATTTATTTGACTAGAATTTGGATTCCAGAAATTTGGGAGTCTATAATACAATCACAATTATCTTTTGGTACATGTTTTTCTTATTTGTATTTTTTTTTTTTTTAGCATACAATAGTTACGTGGCTAGAAAAGAAGCTTGTTCATAAAGTTCTCAGGCACTTTCCACATTTTCACTGGAAAAAAAATGTAGCTTACTCTGAAAAACCTCTTGGCATATTTGTACATTCAGAATTACTAAGAAATTCATTTCAAAGCAAAATCATGTCTCAGCGTGGAAAATACTTATTATCTGAAAATATCAAATTTTATTCTGTTGCCTTCTGCATGGCAAACTAAGTGAAGGAGGAAAGAGAAAAACATCCTGAAGAGTCCGTACAAAATTCATATGCACACAATCAGGAGTGAAACTTTTAACAACATAAAGATAACTTCCCAAGCATTTCACCAATACTTGTTATTCCCACTGCAAAAGAATAAAGCTCCTATTGAAGTCTATAGGAGGAAAGACTACAACTCAGTGGTCAGAGGGAAATAAAACAACTCCACCAATGACACTGGTCAATGATCTGCAAGCTGGTATTTTTCCCAAGAGAAAATGCTATTTCAGGTCCTAATATTTTTTAAAAAAAATTTGTAAGTATATCTATAATATAAATTTAATTAAAACGCACAACTTGAATGATCTCCAAGAGGTAAAGCAACAAAGTCAGTCTCAAATCCTCACATATCTTACTTCCACATCACAAAGGCACCACTCAATCTACTATTAAAATTCACAACAGATAAGCTGAAAACCAAGTGCCCGTGATATTCACTGGGCTCATTTTAGAAGCACCTATTTATTTACTCAGCTATGGTAGTGAAAAGGTCAAGCAAAAATTCACCTCCAAAGCCACGGTTGCTAAGCAACTCTCCTCAGAAGTTCTGCAACATTGATCAAGCATATTACTGGTGCCACCAACTGGATTCAGAATAAATATGAGTAACATCTTACCTGGTGTCTCCGAAGTGGGAGGGAGATGGATTCTTTATTTACCTTTTTGGACAGACTGGAGGCCAATCTTGTATTTATATTCATTTGGCTGGTTAGGCTCAGAAGACTTTTATTTTCCCTCTCCAAAAAAAAAAAGAAAGGATACGTCCTGGTACCACAGGTTTCCTATTCACAAGAGCGAAGGACAGTTCTGTTTTGAGAAACACTACAGAGGGCTTGATGAGATGTTGGCCAAATCTGAACGACATGTCCTCACAGTTGAAGTCTAAAAGAAAAGACAATGGATAGTTATAAAATTCAATTAAGAAACTCAGTTCATATACCACCTTAAAGAAAGCAAATTCCATTACTACAGATTCTTAGTTGCAGAGAGGATGCCATTGAAATTGTTCCTCATTGAATGTTCACCAAGATGCATTCTGGGAAAGTCTTTCTAAAATACTCCACTCTCCCTACCAGTGTTTCCTTGATTAGAGTTAGCAATTTTCAAGCAGAAGCTTCCACGTGGACAATAAAACAGCTTTTCCCCTTCACTCCCTCTGCACTTCACGGTGCCACCTTAACTCAAATCCACAAGGCCCTATTTGTCAGCTACTTATTTTTACCCATCTATTTTGTCATGTCTGCTAAGCTGAAAATTTTCATTAAGTATTAACTATAAACCTTCTAATTCTTAAATGCTTCTCTCAAATGGTTTTGTGTTCATATAATAGCAATTTAGAACAAGTACGAACACTGTCTGACCTTGCCTACAATTACAAAAACATGAGCACTTCCAGAGAACTATTCTAGTAAAATCTCCAAAATAAAGGAGAAAAAAAACATTTAAAAAGAAGGAAGGAGCAAAACGGAGTTCAAAACTAGAACAATTCCTGGTTGTAACAGGGCCACAAAGCAGCAAGGTACCTGAAATGTTCTGCGTCTTCCTTTTGAGGGAAAGCCATGGGGGGCCGGGGGCAGGAAAGGGAGGCTGAAGGGAATTTGGCAAATGGCACAGCTGAGACAAGCCAAATCCATCTAGCACCAAGGAATGACTTTTCAATCAGGTGGATGCCAATACATGACAAAGTTACTTTGTGAATGACTAAGACACACTTTGTGAATGACTAAGAAACACCATCCCTAGAAAACTACTTCATTTTTCTAATTCGGGAACAGCCTAGTATGAAACTGAGGAACATGGATCAATCTACAGAAAAACAGAGAAAGGATTACAAAAAGGATGAAATTAGAAAATAGTTGGCTATTTGTGATATGCATTTGGTTTTCAACCCCATTTCCTGGCACGCAACTCCTAAAATCCTTAGAAACTCCAAAGTGATGTCTTTTTGTATGCTAATGATTGACTGGTGTCTAGCAGCCTCTAAGAGTCTAGGTAGCTTCAGGATGGGGTTGATCACAAGAAGGACCAAGCACACTTATACACCAATAACAGACAACAGAGAGCAAACTCATGAGTGAACTCCCATTCACAATTGCTTCAAAGAGAATAAAATACCTAGGAATCTAACTTATAAGGGATGTGAAGGACCTCTTCAAGGAGAACTACAAACCACTGCTCAACGAAATAAAAGAGGACACAAACAAATGGAAGAACATTCTATGCTCATGGATAGGAAGAACCAGTATTGAGAAAATGGCCATACTGTCCAAGGTAATTTATAGATTCAATGCCATCCCCATCAAGATACCAATTACTTTCTTCACAGAATTGGAAAAAAACTACTCTAAAGTTCATATGGAACCAAAAAAGAACCTGCATTGCCAAGTCAATCCTAAGCCAAAAGAACAAAGCTGGAGGCATCATGCTACCTGACTTCAAACTATACTACAAGGCTACAGTAACCAAAACAGCATGGTACTGGTACCAAAACAGAGATATAGACCAATGGAACAGAACAGAGCCCTCAGAAATAATGCCACACATCTACAACTATCTGATCTTTGACAAACCTGACAAAAACAAGAAATGGGGAAAGGATTCCTTATTTAACAAATGGTACTGGGAAAACTGGCTAGCCCTATGTAGAAAGCAGAAATTGGATCCCTTCCTTACACCTTATACAAAAAGTAATTCAAGATGGATTAAAGACTTAAATGTTAGACCAAAAACCATAAAAACCCTAGAAGAAAACCTAGGCAATACCATTCAGGACATAGGCATGGGCAAGGACTTCATGTCTAAAACACCAAAAGCAATGGCAACAAAAGCCAAAATTGACAAATGGGTTCTAATTAAACTAAAGAGCTTCTGCACAGCAAAAGAATCTACCATCAGAGTGAACAGGCAACCTACAGAATGGGAGAAAATTTTTGCAATCTACTCATCTGACAAAGGGCTAATATCCAGAATCTACAAAGAACTCAAACAAATTTACAAGAAAAAAACAAACAACCCCATCAACAAGTGGGCGAAAGATATGAACAGACAGTTCTCAAAAGAAGACATTTATGCAGCCAACAGACACATGAAAAAATGCTCATCATCAATGGCCATCAGAGAAAATGCAAATCAAAACCACAATGAGATACAATCTCACACCAGCTAGAATGGCGATCAGTAAAAAGTCAGGAAACAACAGGTGCTGGAGAGGATGTGGAGAAACAGGAACACTTTTACACTGTTGCTGGGACTGTAAACTAGTTCAACCATTGTGGAAGACAGTGTGGTGATTCCTCAGGGATCTAGAACTAGAAATACCATTTGACCCAGCCATCCCATTACTGGGTATATACCCAAAGGATTATAAATCATGCTGCTATAAAGACACATGCACACATATGTTTATTGCGGCACTATTCACAATAGCAAAGACTTGGAACCAACCCAAATGTCCAACAGTGATAGACTAGATTAAGGAAAATGTAGCACATATACGTGGAATACTATGCAGCCATAAAAAAGGATGAGTTCATGTCCTTTGTAGGGACATGGATGAAGCTGGAAACCATCATTCTCAGCAAACTATCACAAGGACAAAAAACCAAACACTGCATGTTCTCACTTATAGGTGGGAATTGAACAATGAGAACACTTGGACACAGGAAGGGGAACATCACACACTGGGGCCTGTTGTGGGGTGGGGCGAGGGTGGAGGGATAGCATTAGGAGATATACCTAACGTGAATGACAAGTTAATGGGTGCAGCACACCAACATGGTACATGTATACATATGTAACAAACCTGCATGTTGTGCACATGTACCCTAGAACTTAAAGTATAATAAAAATATATATATATAAATAAAATAAAATAAATTAAATTAAAATAAAAAAGAAGAACCAAAGCAGGATTATAGGGCCAGAACATTCAGCCCCACTCCTCAATCTCCCAGGAAGAGAGAGGGGCTGAAGGTGAAGTTGATCACCAATGGTCAACAGTTTAATCGGTCATGTTTACATAATGAAGCCTCTGTAAAAACCCAGAAGAACAGGTTTAGGGAGCTTCTGGATAGCTGAACACGCAGAAGTTCCTGAAGGATGGCTCGCCCTGGGAGAGCATGGAAGTTCCATGCTCTTTCCCCCATACCTCACCTTATGCATCTTTTCATCAGTATCCTTTGTAATATTTGCTGTGATAAACTGGTAAACTTAAGTATTTCCCTGAATTCTTTGAGTTGTTCAAGCAAATTGATTGAACTCAAAGAAGGGACCATGGGGTCCCTGATTTATAGTCAGTTGGAAGTTCCAGAGGCCCAGACTTGCAACTGGTGTCTGAAAGTCAGGTGACAGTCTCATGGCATTGAGCCCTCAACCTGTGGAATCTGAGGCTATCTCCAGGTACGTAACATCCAAATTCTTCTGAAATGAATCAAAGGACATCCAGCTGGTGTCCGCTGCTTTGTGTGTTGGGGGGAAAGAAACCCCACACATTTGGTCACAGTAGTAGTCTTTGCTGATTGTTGTTGCTGGTGTGAAAGCAGAAGAAAAACATGTTGAGTGTATTTTTTTCCTTATTTTATATAGCACATGAATAATGCATGATTGTTTAATGATTCTAATATTCTCAATGACACAGAAGACAGAGAGCTGTGCAAATGTCACTTACTATGGACACACCCACATAGCCAGAACTGTACACATTTCAGGTACTAAAGAAATAAGATAGGAAGGTTTGCCCCAGTGGTACAAGATAATGGTTTTTAGAACATTTACAACCAGCTCATTAAAAACCCAACAGTTCTCAAGGTGACGTCCCTCCACAATAGCATCAGCATCACTTGGGAACTTATTAGAAATGCAAATTTTGAGGCCCCACCCCAGACCTACTGAACCAGAAACTCTGGGACAAGGGCCCAGCAATCAAGGCTTCCATAGCTGTCCAGGTGTTTCAGAACCACTGACCAAACCCAACTATCCTCCCAATCCCTGGGCCTTTTCCTACAGAATTCCTGCCAAATGGCTGCCTAGCATATGCTTGAATATGTCCAGTGATGGGAAGTTCATCACACATTCCTCCTAAGACAGTCAACTCTACAAATAACATAGTTGCTCTTTATACCAAGTCCATCTGTTTTTCATGACTTTATTCCTTGGGATCATATAAAACAAGTATCATGCAAGTGGCAGTGCTTCAGATATTTGGAGTTAGCTATTTTTCATTTTTTCTTGTTTTTCAAGAATAAAGATGGCAAATCACATCCACCATTCTACAAACAGCATTGATTCAAGTGACCTGTGATTATTTCCCTCCCCAGAATCTACTTCCTTAGAGTCTTAGCTGTACCACTTTGATTTTTTGCTTTTAGTAACACCCCACCATATTCTACATGTGGGGCTATTCGTACTACCTGGTTCTAGGGATGGGCAAGTGACCCAGGCACCCATAGTCCTTTGACATATGATTGGTTCGGGAGTGGACACAGGACACAAAATGAGCCAATCAAAGGCAAGGACATCCTTCAGAGTAATACTGCTATTAGTAACAATGCCACTTTCTTTCAACTGAGTTGCCAAACTGGTAGACTATGAACCTGAAACAGCTACGAGTTTTCCTAAAAAAGAGCTGGCTTGATGTGAGAGCCAATACTGAGGCAAAGACAGTGAAGACACAGAGACCCATACCTGATGACACTGTCTGAGCACATGGATCTAACATTGCCAGAAGAAGTCATGTACCAGAAGTTTCTTTCAGGATAATGGAATAGAATTGACTTAGCACAGGCTCTACTTGATGAGCTACTATTATCATGAGCCCATGAAAGGCTCTTCTTTTTCTTTTCACTTTTCCAATCATTTTCCTTTTTGTCCTCTGTGTTCAGTCCCATTCCCTCCCTTCCCACCACAGAAATTCACTTTTTCATAATTAATGTATTATTCAGAATCCTCTTTACATGTTTGTGTACATACATTTTTTGTCAAAAATACACAGGGCCCTTATACATAATTTTTAAATTTGTATATAAATTGTAGGTTTTAAATCCCATTCTTCTGTATTCTCTCAACATTGTTTTAGAAATTTATCCATGTTGCCATAAACAATTCCTTCACTGCATTCCACTGTAGTATTCCTTGCCCATTCCTCTAGTGCTGTAGAGCTAGCTTGATTACAACCTTTTACCACAAGTTACACTGTGACTACCATTCTTACACGTTTCCCTGGATTCCTATCTTAGCATCCCATTGTTGGGATTCAGGTCAGATACTTACTTAGATTTTCTAAAATATATGCACCAGCTTGCACGCCCAGCAGCAATACATTAGGATTTCTATTTTCCTACATCCTTACCAGCACTTGATAGTACTTCCTGCTTTCCAAGTTTTTAATTATTGAATGGTAAAATGGCGTCTCTTCCTTTTACTTCATTTGTCTCTAATAGTGTGATGTGTGTGTATATGCATGTTTCTCTTCTTATGAATTGCCAATTCATATACTTTGTCCTCTTTCATATTGCTTTCCTCCCTTCAATTTTCTAATTTTGTAGAGTCCCTTGTATATTCTAAATATTGATCATGGTCTATTAAACACAATAATTATATTTTCACCATCTATTAATTTCTCTATCGTTCCCTCCATTGAACAGAAATCATTCATTTTGATGTATTCCAAGTCCATCAATTTTCTTTTTATAGTTTGTGCTCTGCAAATCTCTCCGAACAAATCCCTCTCTACCATAAGTTTGCAAATATATATATTCCTATATTTTCTTCTATCGACTTTATATTTTCATCCTTAACATTTAGGTATTTATTCCACTTGGAACTTTGTTTATAGTATGAAATACAGAAACGGCTTCATTTTTCTTTTTGTGAGCCAATTTTCCTAGTACCAATTCCTGGGAATGATTACAGTAAGTTCCCATATATACACAGGAATAAGTCTAGACTCCTTTCTATTCTGCTTCAGAGCCAGACGCTGTAGAACAAAGGTCGCACATTTTTGCACATTTTTTTTTTCTGTAAAGGACCAGACACAGCAGGCCACACAATGTCTGTTGCAATTACTCAACTTTGTCATGGCAGCATGAAAGCAGTATGAGTAGGCGTGGCTGTGCCCCAGTAAAACTTTATTTGAATAAACAGGCAGCAGCCCAGATTTGGTTTATAGGGGGAGTTTGCCAGCTCCTGCTGTATCTTGTTAATGTCTAAAGAAAAACAGAGATCCTCTTTCTGTATTTATTATCCCATATAAATTTTAGCCTCCACTCTGCCCCTTTCAAAAAAAAATTCTTAGATGTTGATTAGACTGAATTTAAATTGTAAGATGGGTGAGGGGAATGTGACATCTTCAAAATATTCAACGAAGCCATTTATGAATGCTGCATTTATGCTCTTTAATACCATAATAAAACTCTTGTAATAGAGTTTTAAATTTCCCTTATATGTTTTATGCATTCTATCTTAGATTTATTCCTAGATAGCTTTTAGTTTATGTCACTATTATAAATGGTATCTTATTATTGTCATAGTTTATAATTAGTTACTCCCAATACAGCAGAAAGCTATTGATTTTTCTACGTTCTTATAGCTGGCAATCTAGCTGAACTCTTGCATTGCTTCTAATGGTTTCTGCTGATTCTCTTTTTTGTTGTTGTTTTGTTTTGTTTTCAGACAGAGTTTCGCTCTGTCACCCAGGCTGGAGTGCAGCGGCGCAATCTCGGCTCACTGTAAGCTCCGCTTCCCAGGTTCAAGGGATTCTCCTGCCTCAGCCTCCAGAGTAGCTGGGACTACAAGCGCCCGCACCACGCCCGGCTTTTTTTTTTTTTTTTTTTTTTTTGTATTTTTAGTAGAGACAGGGTTTCACTGTGTTAGCCAGGATAGTCTTGATCTCCTGACCTCATGATCCACCCATCTTGGCTTCTCAAAGTGCTGGGATTACAGGCATGAGCCACCGCGCCCGGACTTCTCTTTGTTTTTATATATATGATTTCACTTAGAAATAATGATAATCATATCTTTCATGGCAATTTTCCTACTTTCATGTTTCTTTGTCATACTGCATTGGTCAGCTATGTGGTAATGTATTGAGAAGCAGAAGTAACACAGGGATCCTTTTCTTGTTCCTGACCTTAAGAGGGCTGAGTTTAAACTTCTTTTTTTTTGTATTATGAATGATGTCTACTCTAGGTTTTTAATATGAAGCCTTTAATCAAGCTAAAAATATCCCTTCTATTTCAAGTTTTCTAAGGGTTGATACCTTTTTTTAAAAAAAATTGGTTTTATGAAATGCTTTTCCTATATCACTGATGACACAATTGCTTGTTCCGTGCCATTAATGTGGCAAACTACATTAGCAAATTTAAAAATAATAATTCACTATTCTTTCCCTATTATGATTAATTCAACTCCGTCACAAGGTATTATTTTTTAATATACTGCTAGATTTGAATTCTTAGCCTTTTGAATGTCATAAGTGAAGTTGGCCAATAATTTCTCAACCTATTTTTTTTTTTTTTTTTTTGAGACAGAGTCTCACTCTGTTTTCCAGGCTGGACACAGTGGCACGATCTGGGCTCACTGCAAACTCCGCCTCCCCGGTTCAAGCGATTCTCCTGCCTCAGCCTCCCAAGTAGCTGGGATTGCAGGCACCCACCACCACACTCAGCTAAGTTTTGTATTTTTAGTAGAGACAGTGTTTTACCACATTGGCCAGGCTGGTCTCGAACTCCTAACCTCAAGTAATCCACCTGCCTCAGCCTCCCAAAGTGCTGGGATTACAAGCATGAGCCACTGTGCTCAGCCAACTTATCTAGTTTTTGTTATCAAGATTAAACATAATAGTTTGGTTTTTCTTTTTTGTTCCAAAGAGAGTTTATTAAACGAGCATTTTCTGTTTCATGAGCGTTAAACAAAACTCTTTTGTCAAACTGTGTCTTTTTCTCCTGTGCCAGAAAGGACTAAGTTTTGACAATCATTACAATTTATTGTTTTCTGATTTACTAAAGATTTTTTTTTTCTTGTATCAATTTCTTAGCCATATATCCTTTTCACATAATACTGGTAAAAACTTATATTCTTTTTACTGGATTTAAAAATATAATCTGTAATTATCTCTTTTACCTATTTCGTATTGTGTTTATCATGGTACATGGAGATGTTTTTTCTTCATCTGTTATTCAAAAGTAAGATCTATCCTATGAAGTTTTTTAAATAATGAACTTCTGGTTCTTTGGCTTTTATGAATTATTTTTACTTTATTACCACATTTGTATTTATTTCCTCTGATTTGTTTTCCTTTATTGTTTCTTTGGATTTACTATGTTGCAGTTTTTCTAGTTACTTGAGTCAAACCTTGGGCTTATAGGATTCCAGACTTAGTGTTTTTCTCTTGGGTAACAAAAGCTATATATTGCCGTGAAAGTATTCCATTAGCTCTATCTCTCACCTACTGTGCTTTTATTATCACTCCGCTCTAAAACTTTGCTATTCTTGTTATTATTTCCTATTTAACCTGAGGGTTATTTCATAGTATGTCTTTTCATATCCAGATATATAGGATGTTTTTGCTATCTTTTTGTTAACAGTGTCTGATTTTATAGCACTGTTGTTAAGAGAACCTCTAAGCTGTTGATTTTTTAGAATTTGAGGCTTCCTGACTCATTGAAAGTTGAAGCTTGTGTCTAATCCACATGCCCTCTGAAATAAAGTATGCTCTGCTTTTGTTGAATAAGTTCTATATACATGAGACATCAAATTGTTATCCAAATCTCTCTTTGTCTCATTGCTTCATTGGTTTCTGAGAGGACTGTTTTAAATTTCTAACTATATTTGCTAAATCAATGTCTAACGCCATAAATTATTGTTTTCTGTACCTCAAAGCTACATTACTACATGTGGATATGTTCCTATTCATTTCACTCCCTTGGTCTTCTTATTCCTTTTTCTTCTTTGTATTTGACAAGTATAAATTTTTCCATCACCTTACATTAGCGTGTGTTCTCTTGAATTTTTTTTTAATAAAATACTATAGCATCTTGTTTTCTATCCATTAAAGAATCTGCTGGATAAGTTTAATCACTACACATTTACACTAATTATTCTTTGAGCTTATTTCAGATATTTTATCTTTTCGTTTGTTTCACTTCACTTTTTCTCCTGTCTACCTTCCACGGGTTAAGTCTGGTTTTTCTCTCCCCATGAGTATGAAAATTACACATTCTATTTTTATTTCAGTAGTGGTTATTCGTGTTCTTATCCTATCCATACTAATGCTTAGTGTTTAAAAGCAGATCAGGATCTTTATCCTTAGTATATTCCTACCTCCTTTCATCTCTTCCAGATATCATATCCCATCTTCGTCATGTCCTAACTTTTATGCTGAATTGATATTGTTATAATTTCAAATAATGCTTTATATGCTTTTTTACCCACCATCCCTCTCTCCCCACTTACTCTACTGATTGTATTTTCATTTGTCTTGTTTACAAAGATGTAAGGACATTCCCTTCTCACAGGCAGCTGTGGGCTCCAGCACCACCTGCTTCTTTTGAATCTTACTTTCCCTTTCTGGCCTTTAGTCCTCCCTTTTCCTCAAAACTAGGCTACACTTTTGAGTGGATAAAGAGTCTCAGCTCTGCCACTCTCTTCCTGATCTTCCAGAATTCACTGAACCTTCTAATCCTCAGACATCTCATTTGAAAATAGTAGATAATGAAGTATACAAAGCATGTCTCGTTGTCTGCCACATGATGTAGGTACCCTTAAATACTAATAGTTTTCTCTCTTTCCCTACCCAAATCTAAGTCTACCTCTTTTTTAATTGTGGTAAAAATCCTCCCCATATATGCTGCTAGTACACCTATTTCTTCAAGTTTTAATTTCAATGAAGAAGAAAAATATTCTAGGAACTCTAAAAGGGACAAAAGCATTAAAAAGATTAAGAGTCAATAGAGTTTGATGGGAAAATTTGTGCATCTCCAGGATCTGAAACTGTCTCCAAGACTGAGATAAATATTAAATACTTTCCTTTCACATAAAAATGGCAGAAAGCAATTTTATTTTCAGATAAGTAAAATTGCTGAATCTTTCTACCAAATATAAAGACTAGATGTACCAATATTCTGTGGAATTTTCCAGGGAAAATCATCTTCAGGGAACTGCTTCTTAGCAAATATGGAGATGGTGGTTTCTGTAAGCCAGAGAAGCAAATACTGGATTAGGAACCTCAGTCCAAGGTTTAGACCCTTAGACTTGTAGTGAGCATTAGCCAAGAAGGAAATACAAGGAACTTGGTTTACTCTAGAAATGGTAATTGAACCCTACTCTCTCTTTATAAACAAACAGAAGTAGATACATAAATGAAAAAAAAGGTCTCACATTTCTAGCCGATTACTTTCTTCTTTATTTTTTTGGTGAAAACTTCTTTTATTTGGGACTAAAAATATATGATTTCAACATTCTTAAATGAGTCTCCATTTCCCACTTTTCAGCCATAAAAGGTAGCCTCTTGCTACCTCTCTCTTATGACATATTTGTACCCTCTCTACCTCCTATAAACTACCTTTACATCTGCATCTCCTACAATTCTCGCCAGCTGGTAGCATAACACTTTTAGAGCTTTATCTTTAAAATTTAATAAACATAAAAGAAACAATGAAAAGATCTCTACTATCCTTTTGTGTGTGACTCAGTGGATGTGTTCAGTCATTTTTTTGACAGGGCTAGATAGGCAACCTAACTTGTAGTAGAGTAAGGTTCAGTGACACAAAAGCAAATGCAGGCCCCAAACTGGGAAATCTCCAAGCTGTGAACAGGAACTGACAATAGCTCACTTCAGGGTAGGGCAGATTCTTTTTCCGGATTTGCTTTCAAATGTTATGTTAACATCCAACTAAAGTAACGAAATCTCTTTTGGTATTGCCAAAAGAGATTCACATTTGAGTCAGTGGGCTGGGGAAGGAAGATCCACCCTTAATCTGGTGGGCACAATCTAATCAGCTGGCAGTGGATATAAAGCAGGCAGAAAAAAAGGAGCACGAGAGAGAGAGAGCGAGAGAGAGAGAGAGAGAGAGACACTCTTCATAGAGAATATTATTCAAGGATTTCTTAAACTTGGGAATATAAGACTTCAGGGCCCTGATTTGGGAAATACTGAATTAATAACAACTCTGTCACTTTAGGCAATCCCTTTGCACTAAAGCCACATAGCAGTACTCTGTTATCAGACAACAAGCAGCTGATTTAAAATATAAGCCTATATCTGTCATTTTCATATTATTTCATCAAATAGAGAACAATAAATACAAACTTTTTGAGAGCATGAGGGCCTTCAAAACCCACTGGCCGAAGTTTAAGAAACTCAGGCCTTCAGCAAATGCACCTAAGAAACCAAGCTCATGAAGATGTGAAATTCTAATCAACAGATTACCTGAAAACATTTCCATCCCATTTCATGATTTCTCTCTCTTTTCTGTAGCAAATGATGTTTTTGGAAGAAAAAGAGCGCATATTTCCCTTGCCTGGCTACTCAAAATGTGGTCCTCTAAGTAGCAACAACAGCATCACTTGAGAGTTGTAAGAAATGTAGATTCCCAGGCCCCAGCCTAGATGTAATGCATAAACCTGTATTTTAACAAGATCCCCAGCTAGGCTGTTTGTACATTAACGTTTGAAAAGCACATCTCAGAGCACTAGTTTTAAAACTAGGTCTATTAAGATCAACTTGAGAACTTTCTCAAAAAACAAATTCCTATACTTCATCATACTCTTGACTCCAACAATCTCTGCAACAATGTAGCTAACCCATCACGGGGATTTGACAAACATGGCTTCCGATTGTATCTTCTTTCCAATTCATTTTATGAACTCAGGCAAGTTCCTTAGCTTCTTTAAATTTGAGAAATGAGTATGACAACAGTACCTTCTTCTCAAGGACACACATAAAGCACTTAAATATTTGATAAGTGCTAGTCACAATATTGGTGTATTTTGCCTTGACAAAAGTAATGCCTAATTTTATTCAATAAACAATTGTTAATTGTCAACTCATACATAAGCTAATATTGTTAAGTTGCTTCGTATAATGCTTATCACAAAAATGGTATGTAATGGTTACATAAATACAAATAAAATCATGTATTTGACACCATACTGCCATTAGGTGACTACTATCTCTCCATATTAGAGGTAGAGCAGTGTCAAAAACTACCATCTGATTAAATAATAGAAATAACAGCTAAGTACTTACTCGGTACTTTCATCTTTCTAAGCAATTTATATGATATGTTACTTAATCCTGACAACCCTATGAGGAAGGTCCTTCATACACCAACATATCAACATTTATGCATCTCTTTGATTACTTCTCATGCATTAATTCCTAGATTTGAGAATCACTGTGTTCAAAGTATATTGAACTATTAAGGCTACGGGTATGAACTACTAAATAGCTCTCAAGAAATGTAGCCAATAGTTGATATCCAACGGTTGTATAGAAAAAAGTCCCATTTCCCCAAAACTTTGTTAATGCCAGGCATTCTCTAATTCTCCAAATTGCTAATAAAAATTTGTCATGACTTAGGAATACAACATAAAGGGAAATAACTTCTTCTAAATGTCCTAGATAAAACAATCTACCATGAAAATTAATGTCTCCTAGGCAACCAGGAAGTCAGACACAATGAAAAAGAAACACTGTTCTCTTCGTTAAAAGAATAAAACTGTGTTTCCTTTTAACTAGAAAAATAAAGTTGTTATTTCATTATGGCCAGGAATATTAAGGTTCACTGTAAAAAATAATCTGCTATTTTTATACCCTGGCATTACTCAGTGAATGGCAAAAATCTAGACCAATCCTAGAAGGCACGAATGTCTTTGGGGGATGTCAGAAAAAGCCTTAACTCCAGACACTTCTACCAACTGGAGAGTAGGTTTCTATTTCAATTAACTTAAACACTAGGGGCTCAATTGTTAACCAAGAATGTAAATGAGCTTATTAAAAGCTGCTGGCTAATGGATCCCAAGATGAACCTTGAGAGGAACAATGCCCTGTCATCTAACTGAGGAACAACACAATCTGATCTGGCCCCGCTCTGAAACATACTTTATTGATGACTTGGAAAACAAGGCACATAAATGAATGGTTGGAGACATATATTGAAGTTTATATGATTTGTAAAACATTCTAATCTACAGGCGTATGTCAAAATTCCACAGGAGACAGTAGAAGAGGATCCTAGAAGAAGATAACAAAGTGAACAAAGAGAAAGAGAAGACAACTTGAAGTGTCCCAGAATTTAAGCAAACAAGAATACCTGTAACATTTTTATACAAAGAGAATTTTTTAGTGAAGTATATTAAGTCATCAACTTATGTCACTAAAAAAATTTTCAATTGTTAACAAGTCAAAGAAAATCCAAAACCTCAGCTATTTATAAACAGAAAACACCTAGGTATTTCAAAATGCCAACTGCCTTTTCAAGATCTCACTTCATCAGTTACCTCTTCTCTGTTCTGTCATTTTTTTTTTTTTTGTAAACCTACTTGTTTTACATATTTAACCTCATTCTCACCAGTTTCTTCCCTGTCTCCTAAAAAGATGTTCAGGGATTACATATACTTAATAACCTTTCCTCATCAAACTCTAATCACCTATTCATTTAATAAATATGTATTATATACTTGCCATATTCCAAATACTATTCTAGTGGTAAATATGACAGACCAGCCCTCTGCTCTCATGTAGTATTCTAGGCACAGGGTGCATATTGCAAGCAGTAGAGACTACAAGCCAGTCAACAAGGAAAAATATTCTGATTGTGACTTGAAGGAAATGATCAAAATCCAAGAACAGGAAGGGACTTGGAGGAGGCAGAAGTGGCTGCCTAAGTGTCAAAGGAAAGGGGAATCTCACGTTTGATCTGCGAGTTGAATGATAAGAAGTCCACTGTATGTGACTATATGGGGATAAAATGTTCCAGATGGAGGAAACAGCAATTGCCAAGGCAAGAATGATCTCAAGATCTTAGAGGAATGGAAAGAAGAGTGTGGGGTGGAGCCTAACAGCAGGCAGCAAGGCAGAGGTGAGGAGATGGGTTTGAAAGATGAGCAGGGATCAGATCATACAAGGTCTTGTGTGGCGTTTCACTTAATGAGAAACTCGTGATAACAAAGATTCAAGCTCCAGAGTGTTCAGGGTCTAAATTTGACTTTCAAAAAAAGATTTTACTATTGTACATTAAAAATCATCTCAGGACGCCTGGTGTGGTGGCTAATACCTCTCATTTGGGAGACCAAAGCAGAAGGATCCCTTAAGAACAGGACTTCAAGACCAGCCTGGGAAATATAGTGAGAAAGAAAGAAAGAAAGAAAGAGAGAAACAGAGAGAGGGTAGGGGAGAGGGGAGGGGAGACGGGAGGGGGAGGGGGAAGAGGTGAGACGGGAGGGGGGGAGGGGAGGGGAGACGGGAGGGGGGAGGAGGGGGGAGGAGGGGAGGAGAGAGGAGAGGAGAGGAAGAAATTAGCTGGGTGTGGTGGCATGCACCTATAGTCCCAGCTACTCCAGAGACCATGGCACGAAATGCCTGAGCCTGGGAAGTTGATGCTGCAGTGAGCTGTGATCATGCCCCTGCACTCTAGCCTGGGTGACATAGTGAGATCCTGTCTATAAAAATAAACCTCAGGAGCTTAAAAAAAAGCATATGCCCCATTCCCAGATTATTTTTCTGTTAAGACTTTTGAAAAGTGACATACAATTCATATACCATAAAATTCACCCTTCTAGTGTACAGTTTGATGGTTTTCAGTATGTGTGCAAAATTGTACAATTATCATAACTACCTAATTCAGAACATTTTTACCCCCAAAAGAGAAACCATTTCCTTTAGCAGTCATTTCACATTTTCCTCTAGCCCACAGCCCCTGGCAACTACTATTCTACTTTCTGTCTCTGTGGATTTGCCTTTTCTGGACATTCTATAGAAATGGAGTCATACGATATATAGCCTTTTATGTGTAGCTTATTTCACTTAGCATGTGTTCAAGATTCATCCACATTTTACCATGTATTCATCCTTTATTCCTTTTAAAGGCTGAATAATACCCCATTGTATGTATACACCACATGTTTTTCTCCATTCATCAGTTGATGGACATTTGTTACTACATTTTTGGACGTTTGTGAATAGTGCTGTGAATATTCAGGTGCAAGTTTTGTGTGGACTTATGTTTTCAATTATTGAACGTACACCTAAGAGTGAAACTGCTGGATCATGTGGGAACTCTGTATTTAACATTTTAAGGAACTGCCAAGCTGTTTTCCTTAGTGGCTGTACCATTTTACATTACCACCACCAATGAAAGAGGGTTCCAAGTCCTCCACATTCCTCACCAACACCCCACTCCCAGATATTTTAAATTAATTGGTCTGGCTGAGACCTAGATATCAGGCTTTTTTTTGGTTTTTATTTTGAAAGTTCCTATGGTGATTCTATTCCTAACGTATAGTGAAGGCCAAGAAGCCCTTACTCCAGCCTGTTCATTGCCAACTTGGTAAGTATTTATACCTACTCCCTCTTCCTGATAAGTATTCATACCTACTCCCTCTTCTGCTCCAGAGCTCTTTAGACATGTTACTTGGTGCCCCCAGCACTCTCAATGACATCTGCTTTGTAGCTGACTCATCCAGTGAGAGAAGGAAAGATAATTAAGGAAGATACAGTCTTATACTTTTAACAGTCTCATTTATTTCTGAGTGGGGCCAGTGTCTGTGTGAAATCTTCATGGTTATCTGCATGTCTGGATGGGTTTTCTCCAGGCACTCTGGTTTCCTCCCTCATTCCAAAGGTGCATGTGAGATTAAGAGGCATGTCTACATGGTCCCGGTCTGAGTGAGAAGGTATGTAGAGTGAGTCCTGAGAGGGAATGGCGCCCTGTCCAGGGTGGGCTCCTCCCTTGGGCCCTGAGCTGCCAAGACAGGCTCTGGCCACCTGAGACCCTGAACTGCAATGAATGGGTAAATAATTATCTTGCTTTTATTAATCTTTCTTATAATATGTAGACATCATCTTTATTTCTGTATTTAATATTAACAATATTTTGGTTTTTATTTAGAAGTTTGGTGATGTTTTTGTGAGGAGAAATATGCCACAGGAATTTTTTTTTTAATCAGTTAGCCTATGGTCAAATTGGTTTCATTATACATTGTTTTGGTTAAAGTTGTAGTTTCTAAGAAACCTACCTATGACTCAAGTGAGGACTTGTGTTTTTACGTAATGTGAATCAGCAACCCCCTTCTTCCACTGATTGATCCGACGGAGACCTTTTATGCAAAAAGAGGTCACTGCTTTAAAATATATATATATATATATTTTATATTTATTTTATATATAAAAATTATATATATTTAAAAAAATATATATATATATATATAGAGAGAGAGAGAGGGAGAGAGAGAGAGAGAGAGAGAGAGGCTCCTGAAGTTCTTCTCATCTAGTCAAGAAAGATATAGGGTGTAAATGGATACTTCTATGTTTTATGCTTCAACCTGACCTTGAGTATTAAACATGGTATCATATTTACAAAAATGTATAACATTTAGAACTACTTTTGTCACTTTATAAAATGATTCTTCCAAACCAAACACAGGTGATGAATATCTAAAACACCAGCATCAAGGCCTAGAGCTTTGTGTTTGTACAAAATATCAGGGAAAAGCCAAGCACAGTGGCTCACACCTGTAATCCCAGCACTTTAGGAGGCCTAGGAGGGCAGATCACTTGAGGTCAGGAGTTTGAGACCAGCCTGGCCAACACTGCAAAACCCTGTCTCTACTAAAAATACAGAAAATTAGCTGGGCATGGTGGTGGGCACCTGTAATCCCAGCTACTTGGGAGGCTGAGGCAGGAGAATCGCTTGAACCCAGTGGGCAGAGGTTGCAGTGAGCCAAGATTGTGCTGCGCCACTGCACTCCAGCCTGGGTAACAAAGCAAGACTTCATCTCAAAAAAAGAAAAAAAACGTATCAGGGAAAGACAGAAACCTGAATAAAAAGGAAACAGATTTCTACACTGAAGGACAAAGTATGGCATGACTTCTCAGTCTGATGGAGGCCGAGATTCGTTTTTTTCATTCTGAGATTCATCTTAACGGTTAAAAAAAAAAAAAGAACAAACAAAACGAAACCCAAATCATGTTTTTCATGTGGACTGTAATAGCAGAGACGAACTTACATGTTTAAATACAAAAACAATCCTTAAAGAGGAGAATCAGAAGTTGAAAATCACCTTACTGTTATGTATCTTTCTGGAGTAATCAAAATTTCTACTATATTATAGTCTCTATACCATCAAAAAATCCACAGATATCACAGATATTCATCTCCATGGACTGTATGAAGACATTGTGGACATATTGGGACATCAACTCAGAAATAATGTCAAAAGCTTGTATGGTAAATCTGAATCAACTGTGATCTTTCAGAAGCAGGAGCTTCCAAAGGGGTTCCTGTAGCATCCCTTTATCAGAGCAAGGCCAGTCAGAGGTTAAGAAACATTGGGTCTTTTACTTTAACACTTCTCACATATTATTTTAAAAATAAATACCAAAAGAAATACCAAAGGAAAAACCACATAAATTATATTTTGAACATTTACATTGAACAAATTAAAGTTCCCAACATAAGTGAATACAACATAATAATTACTATTCTGCATATGAGAGAAATTATTCCACCATTTTTTGACTCCTGAATTGTTGGCAATATTCATGGCAAAGCAATGCTGCTCATAGGTTTTTGCTAAAACGGAGTATAAGGCTAATTACAGTGTCAATTATAGCTATGTATCATTTGTACTCTATAGACTTACTCCTATTTTAAGTGGTCTACCATATTCTTCTAATATCTAACGGTGTTATTCACAAGATAACTACATGACTGATACATTTTTTACGTAACAGTGTACTACAGGTGGTACAACCTTGTAAGAGAACAAGTTTAGAAGTATATAATGCACATCTTCCTTCAATCCTGTTTATTAGCATATGGAAAACACATTTGAAGATAACCAGATATAAATTCAAGGCCTTGAATCCAAAGCCGTCCCAAACTACTGATTCCCTGTGTTCTTCCAGGCCCTCAGAAGATGTCGGTTAAAGGAAATCATAAAAAGTCAAACTATAGCCTCTGTGTTATGTCCCCACTAAAGCCAGTATGGCCAGACTTTACTGTAGCTGAGAGGTTCTTGCTCATGGAGTCTTGAAATAGAGCTTCCCAACTTCAGCAGAGATGCCTATTATACAACATTAAATAAAAGACGAATTTAAATGAATCAAGTCTTGACTCTTCTTCCACCATCATGGGTTTTACAGAACAGCATTATCCAGGGCTCCATTCAAGGTAATTTTGCTTTTTCATTGCTTGACAAATGCTTTCCCATTTCCCTGCACCCTAGACAAATTGGTATTTCTCAGCAGCTCTTAGAATGACAATGGCAGTTTTCTCTTCATCGTTTTTTCATTTCTTCATCCTCTCGCCATGAGAGGCACTCATCAGGGGATCTCTAATCCTACCCATCTCATTACCTCTTCACTCTATTTGTCACCATTTGGAATTTCAGAACTCTTAATTATTAGCTTACTGTTACCAACAGTAATGAGGCTCTGGCTGCCTACTGGGGAGCATCATCCAACACTAACAAGCTAGCAGACTGAGACCGGCACCTGAATTCCATCACGTGGTTCCATTGTTCAGGCCAGGTGGGACATTTCTGTCTGCAGGCAAGCTTTCTGCAGGAGAGCTGGAGTTTGCAGGGTGGCTATTATCCATTCACTTTGGTCTTATGATTCACACTGACTCAAAACAGCTTTCCTGTGTGGTCATGCTCATTTACATACTGGCTATTGCCTTCCTTATAATAACACTTAATGTTTATTTCTGCCTTGTCCTCCTTTTCACTTGTATAAGGACTTCCTGGAGCTAAGAGTTCTCAAAGGGAACACTAATTGGTCATTTTCTTATAGCTACTTTTGATCTCCTCCTGACCTGGAATGAACAGTGAGTCTCTCACAGCCATCTGGGTGATCCGTCTATATACAGACCTTCCTTGACACTCCCGCAGTAGTCAGCATACTGCCTCAACACAAAAGAGGCTAGACAAATGTTAAGTGACATCTATAAAGTTTTCTGAGCACCAAAGACAGACCCAGATGCAGAGGAGACAGAAAGGTAAAGGATTAAGAAGGAGCTGGTCCCTCTGAAACTATGACAAACATGTCTTTATATAGTTAACGAGGGAAGATGCAACTGATCCAAAATCCATCTCTTCCTTGGCTTCATATCCTTTCACAGCAACAAGAGCCTTGCACCAATGAGGACAAATGAGCATTGGTTGAATACTTCTAAATGCCCAGCCTACATTAGGCACTTGACCTGCATTTGCTCATTTAAACCCCAATAGCCTGTACAGTAGACCTGGAGGAAAACAAAACCCACAGAAGTCAAGCAACTTGATCAAGGTCACCCATTAGTGAAAACCCCAAAGCTCTTCTCAGTACAAGTGGTCACCCAACACCGCTCAGAAAACGGTTAGGCAAAATGAGGGCCTGGGGTGGGTTTTGGAATAGCAACACCCTGAAGGTAATAGAGGCTGGTGGTAGAGAAGAGGAGCAGTGGCATCACCTAGGTGTGTAACGCTGCCTTTGTCCCCTGTAGCTGCTGCCTTCTATCCAAGGTGACCACCGTGTTGAACACTGTCTAGGAAATACTGTGCTCAGGGCAAAGGATGCTCTCTTTTTTTCACATTTTTATACAGCTAAGAGAAGTCATTTCTGAAAACAGGACTTGGAGGTCAACGTTTACATATGATGCCACCAAGGACATCTCCTGATGATACCCATGAAGGAGAGACCATTCCGTTAGAAAACTTGTGCAGTAACATTTAAAATTGGCATTTGTTAACCATACTAATAAGAGCTAATATTCCTGTAGCCCTTGCTATATACCAGACATTATGCTATAAATGCTTTATGTAAATATCTCACTTACTCCTCTCCAAAGCCTCTGAGGTATTTTTATCACCCTAATTTTACAAAAGAAAACACTAAGAGTTTAAGTCCCTTGCCCAAGTACACACGGAAGCAAGTGATGGAGCCGAGATTTGTACCCAGGTATGTGACACTGGTCTCCTCCCCACCTCCAACAGTGCTAAGAAAGATCTTCTGCCCACATTGCATTATGTGCTGTACTTTTTTCATGTAAATGATCATTCCAAATGTCTACATCCTGGTGGGTGAGCGGAGGAGGTGACAGGAAGAACAAAAAAAAAAATAGACATGATGTCAAGAAAGGAATTAATTTTCAAGTGCACAATCACTGCTACCCACAGAGTCTGTCTGTTTGGTTTTCCATAGGTATAAAGAGATTACTCAGAGTCCATAAGGTGGCCATGCCAGGTCTCTCGGGGTCAAGCAGACAGGCCAAGGGTGTACCCAGGCTCTCCTTAGCTCTCTACATGGCTCTGCCTCATCTGCTTGCTTGGTTCACCCATGACATCAGAGAAACAAAGTTGGGAGCAATGCTACTTCAAGCATATGCCAGTTACTAAGGGTAATTTATGGCAACTCTCATTGCCACGTGGGCTGAGAAGCACAACATAATAATTAAAAGACTGATAAGCAATCACTAATGAAATGCATAGGTATTGTTGAAAAATGCATTTTGAGTCCAAGTAAAACAATGATGTGTGTTCTCCCAGTGCAGAATCTCTGAGCTCTGTAATCTTAAAGGCTTTTGCTTTTAAAATACTATTTCAAATGCCAGCTATTAGTAACCCATACATTTGCACCCTGGTTTCATTGCAAAAATGAGGAAGGACCATTGCTTTCCAAAAGAGGCAACAAATAGAATTTTTTAAAAAACGCTTCTCTTGGAAAATTTTGATCCGTTTCAAGTGATCTTGTTTAGAAGACCCCTACGCCAAGAGTCCTGCCGGGACAGAGTTGTGTTGGCATCACTTGACTGCTACCTGTGTCGTCTTTGCCTTTGTGTATCGCAAAGCCTGTTAGAAACAGCTCATGGAAGCGGGGCTCAGAAGACAGAGGTGTGTGCTAGACCCTGCCCTACCTTTGTTCTCTAACAGGGAAGCATAATGTCAACCAATCTCTAGTCATCTCCCTGACCCATGTCCCTGACTGGCATACACACAGGGCCACATGAAACCATTCCATGGCTCAGGCCAGGGTTTCAAGCATCAATTACCCTTAGTAACAGCACATGCCTGAAGTAGGGTTGCTCCCAACTTAAATATTTCTCTGATGTCATGGGTGAACCAAGCCAAGCAGATGAGGCAGAGTCATATAGGGAGCTCAGGAGAGTTTGAGTATGCCATTGGCCTGTCCACTTGACCCCTGAGTCTAATGACTCAGCATGGTCTTTGGAGTTCTAGGATGGCATTATTTACTTCTCCTCTTGCACAGTCCAGAAAGAACATTTTTCCCCACTAAATGCACATTCCCAGGAGCTCCGACCTCCAGTCAAAAAAGTAAAAGTTGCTTGGTAAGCTCACTGCCTGGGGTCTTCTATACCAGGAAGGGCCCAGGCCTAGCACTCATGTTGTGGCATCTTCCTCCTGCACTGTAGGCAGATGTCGCTAATTAACTATGACATGTTCTCCTGCAGGGCATTAACAGAATCTTTTAGATACCATTACCAATCAATCAGAGTTGCTGCATAACATGGAAAACCTATTGCTCATTTCACTTTTCGGCTTTAGACTAATGACCCAGGGAAACTTTTCATGGCAGCCCTGAGATGGTTCGATCCATTTCAAGCTAAGGATGTGATAATACGTGTATCTTCCAGAATCTTGACTCTTTCAATTAGGAGCATGAATAACAAACTTCTAGCATTGAAATAACATATTCTACGGTAATCCTCTGACTGATCACCTTGTTAATAAATATCTAAAGACCGCATTTTTCTCTGAGCTTCCAACTTCCATGGGAACATTCTGATTGTGATATAATTTTTAAATTAGCGGGTTTATTCATAGATTTGTGTTAGTAAATGGCAAGCTTCTTACTAATTAGCAAATTGTGTAAATCCACAGCAGTATTAATTTTCAACTGTATGGGGAATTAATATAAGACAAAATAAATAAGGAGACAATTAAAATTTCCCTAGAGGCATGCATTTCTATAAAATTCAGCACAAAACAAGAAAACATTAACCCATTTTGAGGGTGCATTTAGAAAAGATCACAAAAGATGTGTCAGTGTCACAGAGAACAAGTGAAGCATGCATTTGCTGTGGCACGCACTCTCAGTTACAGCTAAATTCCCTAAAGATATTTTCTCAAGTTACTGCTGCTGAGATGTCCCCTCTTGCCTTGATGCACTTTTCCAGCACTTTCTCATTTAATAAGGTTTTTATTATTTCTTTATTGATGTTTCCACTCAAATTGCTGGTGTGCTCTCTCTCACTTTAGAGGACAATGCACAGTATAATGTTCTGATCCTCAAAAACTGCCCCACAAGAGGTCTCTCACTAACCAAGCGCTTGCTAATATCCATTTCACTTTTCCCACTAACCCACTGAGAAGATGGAAAGCATATGTATCTCTGGGCTCCTGTTTAACCTCCCAGCTCTAGAAGATGAGAAAAAGCATGTCCCTCTTACGGGCACTTACACCATTTCTTATGAAGCCATCCCACACACTGTTAAACAAATCTGATTGTTTCTCAAACTCCCCTTTAACTGCTTCAGCTTATTGCTAAGATGTTGGAGTCTTCCTGTGTTGGTGGCCATGGAAACCACCTGTCTATTTAATGGCATGAGGTCTTTTCTTTACTTTTCCTGGCATGCCAGGCTGTTGGGGAAAGGCCAGAGCCCTAAGTTTAAACAAGTCAAGTACAGATGTTTAAGAATGACAGCTCCCAACAGCTTCAGATCATAGCTAATACCAAAATTAAACTGTAACATGGTATGCTCTGATGGGGAAACTGTGCACAGTTTCTAAGTACACAAACAAGACAGTACACAGACAATTGTAGGTTCCATTTGGGGGCAATTTTCTTCCCTTATCATGGCTATCAGTGATACAATCTGCTGCAGAAGAATGTGGTGTTAACTAATTAGTATACCATATAGAAGTGCCTGTCTTGTATTATTTACAGTGCCTGGGACACACTCCTAGTACAGGGCTTCTCATAGGCACAGTAATTATGCATTTGCCTCTCTGTCTTACATATTAGATAATGATCTCCTTAAGGGCTGGGAATACGGTCAGAGATTGGGATTGCCTATCAGCCCCCTCCCAAGCAGACCTAAGCAGCCAGGTGGTAGGCAAGAACAGCTTCATGAATGGCTACTAGGCAGTTCCCAGTAGTGCCTGGAAATTCTGTAAGTAAATTTTAAACGGCTTGGTTCAGGCCAAAACCAAAATGGATCTTCCTGTTCCCTCACCCCAGGTCTGCAGTGACATACTATCCTGATCTCCTCTTTCTGTTTGAGGTTGAAAATGGAAATGGGAAGAACCAGGCAGGCCTTATCTGGCCTGCTTGCCATATGGAGACTGATGGGCAGACTGTTCACAACCACAAGCAGGTACCACAGAAAGAGGACAGAATAGAGCCGGTCCTTTACTTTTAGGTGAGTTTTCCTCCACTGGCATGTTGTCACCAGGCAAGGCAGTTGCCATTTCTACTGATGTAAGGAGACACACACACACACACACACACACACACACACACACACACACAGAGAGAGAGAGAGTGTGTGTGTGTGTGTCAAGGAGAGGTGGGGAGGAAGTGAGTAGGAAGGGACACAGAGCCAGGGACTAAAGAGAAAAGTCCCTTCCTGTGAAAAGAATAAGATAATATTTTCATTTACCATCCCCATATACACAGCAGTGAGCAAAGTGCCAGGCAAATAATTGATACCCAACAAACATCAGCTGAATGAACAAATGGATTCATTCATTGCACTTTTCCATGTCTCTATCTCTAGTATTTAAGATTTTTTTAATGTATCTTAGAAGAGCCTACTGTTGTACACCAAACCAAACCAAAACAGCAGAATGTCCTAAAGTACTGACATATGTGTAGAAATTACACATCAAATTACCAATCAGATAGACGCTAAGGTAGGACTGAAATGTGGGCCAAACCCATTTTGGAAACAAAGAACAAAGTCAATACTCAAGGTCAAGCTCTTAGACAGCTATTCTTCCAAAGCACCTGGACCCCAAGACACACTCAACAAATTTCAGGTCATTTCTTCTCTCATTAAGCCAGTTACAACCAAGTTATAGAAGTGGAGTCCTTACAAGTCGCTATTGATAGAATAAGAGCTAGTCAAAGAATGTTTGAGCCATTTTTTTCCCAGCCTCAGATGATGGGGAGAAAAAAAAAACACCTCAATCAAGGATGTCAAAATGAACCAATCTGCAATAGTCATCTGGGCAGGGGACAGGTGAATAGCCCAATTCTTCTCACAGAAATGAAGAAAAAGTTCAGGCCATTATCCAGGATGACTTGAAAAGGCAACTCAGTGACTGAGCTTTGTAGTTCTGACACCATTCAAATAGAAATGGGAGCCAGAGATAGAAGGACTGACGGCTCATTCTCAGGAATGTCTGTGACTATGCTTAGATGTGTCAGTAGACAACAGCTTCCTACCAAATGGTACAGGCTTTGGCAGCCTCTTTTTTAAAAGGCCTTTTAGTAACTAGTCAGGCACCATTCTTAATATCAAAACATTCTCTCTTTTTTATTGCCCAGACTCTGGGAATCTGGAAAATGAAAGAAAAGAAAAAAAAAGAAAAGAGAGAGAAAGAGAGAAAGAAAAAGAGAAAGAGAGAAACAGAGAGAGAGAGAGAGAAAGATAATTCTGACTCTTCCTAGGTAAAGTTATGCTTTCCAGTTAACTTGATCCACTAGTTATTACCCGAAAACATGCTTTCCCTATGTTTGAGTTCTCATTCATTTATTCAACATCTACTATGTGCCAGACCCTGTGTTAGATGCTAGGGATACAACGGTTAATGAGAAAAAGAAAATGTCTTATCATGGAGCTCATTATTTATCTGTCTTATAATTAATCTATATTACTTTATTTAACAACTACATACATTAAACACTGCCCTTTTATGGTTACGGAAAGACAGCAGTGAACAAAACAGACAGTCTCTATTCTCTGATCCAGGGGGAAAAGACTAAATGAGTTAGTAACATTTTCAGATAGTTAGGAGAGCTGGAAAAACATACATTGGGATAATGCCATTGAGAGTGAGTGATGGAGTGGCAGCAGGACTGTTGTTTGAGATAAATTGGCCAGGTGGCGTCTCCAAGAAGAAAAGTCTCACTTGAGACTGGTAAATGAAGCCAGCAATCCAGGAAGGGTGTTTGTCAGGGTGGCCAGCTTTTCCCCACTCCTAGGTTTTAAGAGGAGTCTGACACTGACTATTATTAGGAAAATAAGTTAGTTGGCCTACTTGGAGGGTATAATACCAGCCAGCACCTTAATATTCAATGTGTGGTCTGGGGAATACCAGCATCAGCATCACCCAAGAGCTTGTTAGGAATGCAAATTCTCAGCTCCACTCCAGATGTAATTGATCAAAATCTGCACTTGACCTGACCCCTAGGTAATTCATATGTGTATTAAGACTTTGAGAAGCCCTGGAGCTAGCCACCTTGAGTAAGACCTAAAGTCATGTCCACCAAGCCTGGCCTCTATCAGTCATTCCTTTGTTTATTTTGGAATTCATTTGAGAAATTTGAGGACCCAGGCATAGACAAGGGCTGCTATTTATTGGAGGTCCTCAAGATCCTCTAAATAAAGGGAAGAACAAGTACAAAGCCCTGATATGGGCCAGGCTGAATTATGAGTGAAATCAACAGAAATAAACGCAAGCCATTTAAATTTTATCCCTATAAAATGGCTAGCCTTTGGAAGTTTTTAGGCAAGGGAGAAGTAATATGTTCTACGTGAAACTTTGGAGCAGTGACTCTGGGTGCTGCAGAGAGAGTGGACAATAGCCAAGCAAGCATGGAGAAACCACACAGTTAAGAAGCTACAAAGGCGAGCCCGATGGGAAGCGGTAGGGACTTGAGTTGGTGAGGCAGCAGTGCACTTATTCTGGATATGTCTTGGGAGAAGAGCTAATAATACTTACTGATGAATAGAAATGTGGGGCAGCAGTTAGGAAAGAGGATGGTCAAAGAACCAGTCAGTGCAGGCATACTTCATTTCACTGCATTTTGCTTTACTGTGCTTCTCAGATATTGCATTTTTAGACCAACTAATAACCCTACAATCGCCTTTTAAGTGTTCAAGTGAAAGGAAGTGTCACACATCTCTCACTTTAAATCAAAAAGTAGAAACGATAAAGCTTAGTAAAGAAGGCATGCCAGAAGCCAAAGACAGGCCAAAAGCTAGGCCTCTTGGGCCAAACAGCCACGCTGTGAATGCAAAGGACAAGTTATTGAAGGAAATTAAAAGTGCTACTCCAGTGAACACACAAACAGTAAGAAAGTAAAACACTTATTGCTGATAGGGAGAGTTTGAGTGGTCTGGATAGAAGATCAAACAAGCCACAACATTCCCTTAAGCCAAAGCCTAATCCAGAGCAAGGTCCTAACTCTCTCCAATTGTATGAAGTCTGAGAGAGGTGAGGAAGCTACAGAAAACAAGTCTGAAGCTAGCAGAGATTGGTCATGAGGTTCAAGGAAAGAAGCCATTTCCATAATATAAAATGTCGAGGTGAAGCAGCAAGTGCTAATACAGAAGCTGCAGCAAGTTTTCCAGAAGAGCTGGCAAAGATAATCAATGAAGTTGACCATATTAAACAATAGATTTTCGATAGTGACAAAACAGCCTTCTATTGGAAGGCGATGCCATCAAGGACTGTCCTAGCTAGAGAGGAGAAGTTAGTGCCTGGCTTCAAAGCTTCAATGAACAAACTGAATCTCTTGTTAGGGGCTACTGCAGATGGTGACTTTAAGTTGAAGTCAGTGGTCCTTGAGCATTCTGAAAATCCTGGATCCCTTAAGAATGATACTACATCAACTCTGCCTGTGCTCTGTAAATGGAACAACAAAGCCGGGATGACAGCACATCTGTCTGTTGCATGATTTACTGAATTTTTTAAGCCCCCTCTTGAGACCTACTGCTCAGGAAAAAACATTCTTTTCCAAATATTACTGCTTACTGATGATGTACCTGGTCACCCAAGGGCTCTGATAGAGATGTACAAGGAGATGAATGTTGTTTTCACACTTGCTAATACAATATCTATTCTGCAGCCCACAGATCAAGGAGGAATTCTGACTTTCAAGTCTTATTAATTAAATACATTTTGTAAGGCTATAACTGTCATGGACAGTGACTCCTCTGATGGATCTGGGCAAAGTAAATTGAAAACCTGGAAAGGATTCACCATTCTAGAAGCCATTAAGAACATTCATAATGCATGGGAGGTCAACATGAACATAGTTTAGAAGAAGTTGATTCCAGCCCTCATGGATGACTTTGAGGGGTTCAAGACATCAGTGGTGAAAAAAGCAGGAAAACTAGAATTAGAAGTAAAGCCTGAAGACGTGACTGTATTGCTGTAATCTCATGATCAAACTTGAACAGATGAGAAATTGCTTTTTATGGGTGAGCAAAGAAAGTGATTTCTTGAGATGAAATCAACTCCTAGTGAAGATGATGTGAACATTGTCGAAATGACAACAAAGAATTTGGACCATTATACCAACTTGGTTGATAAAACAACAGCACTGTCAAAGACGATTAACTCTAATTTTAAAATAAGTTCTACTATGAGTAAAATGCTATTAAATAGCATTACATTCTACAGAGAAACCTTTCATTAAAGGAAGAATCAATCAGTATGGCAAACTTCATTTTTATTGTAAGAAATCGCCACAACCACCCAACTTTCAGCAACCACCACCATGATCAGTCAGCAGCCATCAACATTGAGGCAAGACCTTCCCATTTTTATTGTTCACATTTTTTAGCAATAAAGTATTTTTAATTAAGGTATGTACACTTTTTAGGAATAATGATATTGCATACTTAATAGACTACAGCTAAGTGTAAATATAGCTTGTATATGCATTGGGAAACTAAAATTCACATGACTGATTTATTGCGATAGTCACTTTTTCACAGTGGTGTGTATCTGAACCCATAATATCTTTGAGGTATGGCTGTACCCCTACGAGGCATGGAGGTGGGCATACTACCCATGCTGCCCCCAAGCACTATGGCTGACCCCTTGCTGGGCTGATCCCAAATACAAAATACAAGAATTCATAAACAATACAACACTTTCCGTTAATGGAGAATGCTATAACACCTAGTTCCCACTTCTATTCTTCACCGTTGGATTCTAATAGATGCCTGTTATTCCTTTAAAAATATGAGAGCAATGGATTTCATTTACAAAAAAGGGAAATTAGTTACACAACAAAATGAATACTCAGAAAAATATTTCAAGCAAATAGATAAAAGACCACTTTTAAAAATCTGAATATCCAAGATAACTTGCTCTCGTAAAAGTTTGTGATTGGCAATAAGAGACAGATTGAAAACTGCTAGACTTTTCAAAAAACCAGCTCCTGGATTCACTGATTTTTTGAAGGGTTTTTTGTGTCTCTATTTCCTTCAGTTCCGCTCTGATCTTAGTTATTTCTTGCCTTCTGCTAGCTTTTGAATGTGTTTGCTCTTGCTTCTCTAGTTCTTTTAATTGTGATGTTAGGGTGTCAATTTTAGATCTTTCCTGCTTTCTCTTATGGGCATTTAGTGCTATAAATTTCCCTCTACACACTGCTTTGAATGTGTCCCAGAGATTCTGGTATGTTGTGTCTTTGTTCTCATTGGTTTCAAAGAACATCTTTATTTCTGCCTTCATTTTTTTATGTACCCAGTAGTCATTCAGGAGCACGTTGTTCAGTTTCCATGTAGTTGAGTGGTTTTGAGTGAGTTTCTTAATCCTGAATTCTAGTTTGATTGCCCTGTGGTCTGAGAGTTTGTTTTAATTTCTGTTCTTTTACATTTGCTGAGGAGTGCTTTACTTCCAACTAAGTGGTCAATTTTGGAATCAGTGCGGTGCGGTGCTGAGAAGAATGTATATTCTGTTGATTTGGGGTTGAGAGTTCTGTAGATGATCAAGTGGGTTTCATCCCTGGGATGCAAGGCTGGTTCAACATACGCAAATCAATAAACGTAATCCAGCATATAAACAGAACCAACGACAAAAACCACATGATTATCTCAATAGATGCAGAAAAGGCCTTTGACAAAATTCAACAACGCTTCATGCTAAAAACTCTCAATAAATGAGGTATTGATGAGACGTATCTCAAAATAATAAGAGCTATCTATGACCAACCAACAGCCAATATTATACTGAATGGGCAAAAACTGGAAGCATTCCCTTTGAAAACTGGCACAAGACAGGGATGCCCTCTCTCACCACTCCTATTCAACATAGTGTTGGAAGCTCTGGCCAGGGCAATCAGGCAGGAGAAGGAAATAAAGGGCATTCAGTTAAGAAAAGAGGAAGTCAAATTGTCCCTGTTTGCAGATGACATGATTGTATATCTAGAAAACCCCATTGTCTCAGCCCAAAATCTCCTTAAGCTGATAGGCAACTTCAGCAAAGTCTCAAGATACAAAATCAATGTGCAAAAATCACAAGCATTCTTATACACCAACAACAGACAAACAGAGAGCCAAATCATGAGTGAACTCCCATTCACAATTGCTTCAAAGAGAAGAAAATACCTAGGAATCCAACTTACAAGGGATGTGAAGGACCTCTTCAAGGAGAACTACAAACCACTGCTCAAAGAAATAAAAGAGGATACAAACAAATGGAAGAACATTCCATGCTCATGGGTAGGAAGAATCAATATCGTGAAAATGGCCATACTGCCCAAGGTAATTTATAGATTCAATGTCATCCCCATCAAGCTACCAATGACTTTCTTCACAGAATTGGAAAAAACTACTTTAAAGTTCTTATGGAACCAAAAAAGAGCCCACACTGCCAAGTCAATCCTAAGCCAAAAGAACAAAGCTGGAGGCATCACGCTACCTGACTTCGAACTATACTACAAGGCTACAGTAACCAAAACAGCATGGTACTGGTACCAAAACAGAGATATAGATCAATGGAACAGAACAGAGCCCTCAGAAATAATGCCACATATCTACAACCATCTGATCTTTGACAAACCTGACAAAAGAAACGGGGAAAGGATTCTCTATTTAATAAATGGTGCTGGGAAAACTGGTTAGCCATATATAGAAAGCTGAAACTGGATCCCTTCCTTACACCTTATACAAAAATTAATTCAAGATGGATTAAAGACTTAAATGTTAGACCTAAAACCATAAAAACCCTAGAAGAAAACCTAGGCAATACCATTCAGGACATAAGTATGGGCAAGGACTTCATGTCCAAAACACTAAAAGCAATGGCAACAAAAGCCAAAATTGACAAATGGGATCTAATTAAACTAAAGAGCTTCTGCACAGCAAAAGAAACTACCATCAGAGTGAACAGGCCACCTACAGAATGGGAGAAAATTTTTGCAGTCTACCCATCTGACAAAGGGCTAATATCCAGAATCTACAATGAACTCAAACAAATCTACAAGAAAAAAACAAACAGTCCCAGCAAAAAGTGGGTGAAGGATATGAACAGACACTTCTCAAAAGAAGACATTTATGCAGCCAAAAGACACGTGAAAAAAACGCTCATCATCACTGGCCATCAGAGAAATGCAAAACAAATCCGCAATGAGATACCATCTCTCACCAGTTAGAATGGCAATCATTAAAAAGTCAGGAAACAACAGGTGCTGGAGAGGATGTGGAGAAATAGGAACACTTTACAGTGTTGGTGGGACTGTAAACTAGTTCAACCATTGTGGAAGTCAGTGTGGCAATTCCTCAGGGATCTTGAACTAGAAATGCCATTTGGCCCAGCAATCCCATTACTGAGTATATACCCAAAGGATTATAAATCATGCTGCTATAAAGACACATGCACACACATGTTTATTGCGGCACTACTCACAATAGCAAAGACTTGGAACTGACCCACATGTCCAACAATGATAGACTGGATTAACAAAATGTGGCACACATACACCATGGAATACTATGCAGCCATAAAAAATGATGAGTTCATATCCTTTATAGGGACATGGATGAAGCTGGAAACCATCATTCTCAGCAAACTATCACAAGGACAAAAAACCAAATACCGCGTGTTCTCACTCATAGGTGGGAATTGAACAATGAGAACACATGGACACAGGAAGGGGAACATCACACACCAGGGCCTGTTGTGGGGTGGAGGGAGGGGGGAGGGATAGCATTAGGAGATATACCTAATGTTAAATCACGAGTTGATGGGTGCAGCACACCAACATGGCACATGTATACATATGTAACTAACCTGTACATTCTGCACATGTACCCTGAAACTTAAAGTATAATAAAAATTAAAAAAAAAGAAAAGAAAACTTCTAGACTTCCCAACACTTTGAGAAACAGTTGCCACCTAACTACTAAAGCAAAATGAACTAAACCTACCACTGGAACTCAACCTTTAGGCATTTTAAAAGGCCATTTTTAATGAATTCCCTTTCAGCTCTTAGTCAAGCTCATCTTTTTGAATTCGATCTTTATTTTTAACAGGAGCACATACTTAAAGAGGTAGAAGGTATGAAGAGGTCAGCAGTGATCATCTTTACTTATAAGAGACAAAGCATTCCTCTTGGAAAAGTCACCATACCATTTTGGGGACTTAAACTTTGAATATTTTTTCAAGAAAACACATTTATGACAATTCATTATGCTAGAGATTCTTTTTTTTTTTTTCCTTTCAAAAATATTTTCCATTTTATGTCTTCTAAGGCTGATGAAAACAGGCCTTCCAACTCTGGGCTTGCCTTATTGCCTGTCTGTGGCTGAAACCCAAACATTTTCCTATTACAGTTTAAGTGTTTTTATGTATGTTTTATACCCAAATTCAGTAAAGGTTTGACATAGACCAAGGTAACATTTCAGGCAGTATCTTTAAAATAGAAATCTATTTTCAGATTCCAGGATGTAGAACAGTTGGTTTTGAATTTATAACTTTGATACCAGCATTTTCCTCTTTAATTGTACTTCTAAGGATACCTCCTGGCCACCAAAGGACACTGGCGTGGTTTATTTCAGTACTGTGATAAAGTGATTGAGAACTGAGATTTTATTCCCAAAGAGGCTAACTCCTTTATCTTATTCTAAAGCCAATTATTTTGCAAATTAGATCCACTGCTTACATAGTATGACATGTGAATAGATGTAAGGAAATCCATCACTACTACTCCAAGCATATGCCTACTGAGTAATGAGTTAGCAGGATCACCTTCATGTTTGAAGACACCAGGACGATATAGTAGAGGAGAACGTAAGCTCTAGTGTCAGAACGCCTGGGTTCTTATTCCATCTGGCTAGCTAGGAGACTTTGGGCAAGTCCCTCCCCTACATCTCAGTTTCCCCATTTATACTCAATGGCAGTACTTCCCAAATTAGTCACCTCATATTTAGAGATATTTATTTATTAATACTATATATATATATATATATATATATATATATTTTTTTTTTTTTTAGACAGAGTTTTGCTATTGTCACCCAGGCTGGAGTGCAACGGCACAATCTCGGCTCACTGCAACCTTCGCCTCACAGGTTCAAGTGATTCTCCTGCCTCATATATAGCTGCTTTATTGAGATGTAATTCACATATCATACAATTCACCCATTGATGTAATTCACCCAAATGATACAATTCAATGGTTTTTAATCTATTTACCCAGTGGTACAATCATTACTACAATCAATTCTAGAATGTTTTCATCACTGCCTAGGGATCTTTAAAAATTCCAAAGCCCAGACTATGCCACAAATCAATTATATCACAGTCTATGGCGGTGGGACACAGACATCAGTAGTTTGCGAAGCTCCCCAGGTAATTCCATTGCACAGATATGTTTGGGAAGCCATGCTGCACTGGAATCACTGTCAGAGTTTCAGGGAAAATAAACACAGAAATAAAGAAAGAGGAGATGTTCAGCAGAGAGACTGTCCTATGATAACATAAGCACAGAAGTGGTGGTGAGAATAATCATACTGAGGACGAATTTAATGGGAAAGACTATTTAAAGAATTACACTGCAACTTTTATAATCGGGACTAAAATAGCAATTTTTTTACTCGTTGGTAATACATCTCCAGGCACAGCATCCTCTGAGAGTATGTATAAGTTGGGAATAAGAGTGTTGAGGTAGGAAAGGGATCAGGAGGAGATAAGAACCTGTAACTTATCTAACACATTTCAAGACATTACCAAGCTTCTTGGCCTTCTAAAAAGCTCCTGGTTAGCCTTACAGGATGCCACTGAAGTGCCACCCCTTTGTGAAATCTTTTCCCACTGAAGTCACAGTTTGATGCTTCTTAAAGCTCTGCGTTTGGCATAATACAGCAATTATCACCCAGAGTCATATACTTCAGAAGTTGGTCACCTTCACCAGGGCAAGAGTTCTTTGAAGGCAGAAACAATACTTAGTACATTAAAAAATTAAAAAAAAAAAAAAAAAACTATCTCAAGAGCCTAGCGCATGTTATGGCACAGTGTTGACAAATATTTGTTGGACTGAACCAAAGCAAATTCACATCCACTACTGTCAACACAAAAATGAAAAAAAAATAGTGCACTAGTTCCAAAGTTCCCAGAACACTTAGGGGCCATTGTAGCTCTCAGAAGACTGGCAAGCAAGACCTGCAATTTTACTCTATAAGGGACATTGTAAGAGCAAAGCTTGGGGTACTTAATAACTCCACTAAATAAATGGCACAACCACAAGCTGTTATTAGGAACACTGAATAGAGGCTGGGCACAGTGGCTCTCACCTGTAATCCCAGCACTTTGGGAGGCCGAGGCAGGTAGATCACATGAGGTCAGGTGTTCGAGACCAGCCTGGCCAACACGGTGACATCCCATCTCCCCGTCTCTACTAAAAATACAAAAATTAGCCAGGCTTGGTGATGTGCGCCTGTAATCCCAGCTACTCGGGAGACTGAGGCAGGAGAATCACTTGAACCTGGTAAGCAGAGGTGGCAGTGAGCTGAGATTGCATCACTGCACTCCAGCCTGGGCAACAGGGCAAGACTCCATCGCAAAAAAAAAAAAAAAAAAAAAAAAAAAAGAACAATGAATGACGTATTACCAACACTGAGATCAAGAAAAAAAATTGCCATCCAGGGGAAAAAGATTAATTAATATCAATTAATTTTCTTTTACAGGAGTAGATTATACAGAAGTCTTTAGGCTTCTGAGGAGAATTTGAGAAAATTTTACAGTAAACAGGAATTTGCATACGCTCTGGGAGCAAAAAGTGTGTCCCCAGACAGGTCACCTGGGGTATGTTCAAGATGAAGAACAAAAGTCGGGCATTTCTCTAAGTGTAGAGTCAGGAGGGTGCAAATAAAGGCAGGCTTTAGAGGGAATAGAGAAACTTTTGGATTCAAAAGAAATACAATTATCATTACAATAGAGCTACATGGTTACACAATAAGCAATACTATTAAGCACCCTCTCTGGAAAGAGTGTTCTTTGAAAAACAAAATGCAGAACAGATCCAAAAGCAAGGTAACAAAAGCTATTAGGTGAAGTCCATCAGAGGAAGAATTCTCTTTCCATAGCATCTTCCTTCAAGTACAAGATAATTATGTTTTATTTATGGCACAGGAATAGAATATGAGATTCACCATTCAATAAACTCAGGAAAATCATTTCTTTGGTCATTGCTTTTTATTTATAAAATGACGGCTTGGATCAAGGTAGTGTTTCCCAAGGTTTTCTTTCTTTCTTTTTTTTGGGGGGGAAGATTTAACAGGCATTACTTGAAGAAACTTAGAGTCAATAGATTCTAAATTATGGTCACTTGAAACCAGCACCACAAGATTACCCATCAAGACCTAATCAACCAAATTAACAATTAGTATTTGGGCAGAAAGTTGATGCAATATCTCCAATATCAAGGCAGTACAGACTGCTTTGAAACTGATATTCTTCTCTGTGCATGCATATACACACACAGACACACACACACTCATACACACATATATTTATAATTCCTTCTAAATATTTGAATGTTCATATATATAATTCTTTCTTTTTAATTACTCCAAGCTGAGCATGTGTAGGTTAGATTCACTCTGTTTTATAATATTTATTGTGTTTATAGAATATGTCCATCACATCCTAGCCCCTAGGCATGTTTACAAATAAGATAGGAAAAAAAGAGACTGTTGATAACATAATGGCTAAAAATCCACAGCCAATATTTTCAGAAAGATCACACAAATGCACATACATGCATACACACACAGACACACACACACTCTATCTACAGATCATCCTGGTATCCAATGTGAATTCCATCAGTATTCTCAGTGCAAACCACACCCTGTGGTTTCTTTTCCTACTCCCTACACAACTTCTGCCATCTTGAGTCTTAAAATATAAAACAAAAAAATATATGGTCCATTGATGGAAAGGATAGAAGGCTTTAGATGGGAGACAGGGTCAGATTCATCACATCATTTCTTTTGACAGCCTAGCACAGGGGTTAATGTTGGCTGGGGAGATGGAAAAAGGAAAGAGGTAATGGGAGCAGACCTGGGACCAGTTGGTCAGCAACTCGCAGAGTTCTTTAATCACCAACAACCTCCCTGTACTGAGGCAACATGCTGCTAAATGCTCAACATACAGCATTTCGTTTCATCCTCTTGATGTCCCTACAAGGTAGTTCCTATTATTTCCATATTTCACTTGATAAAACTGAGGCCCAAGTTACAAAATATCCCAAGTTACAAAGCTACTAAGTGGCAGGCTCAGGACCTGCACCCAGGTCTTCCCAAGGCCAAAGTTTAGACTCTTCACCAGAACTGCTTGGCTTTTTGCTAGAAAGCCTGGGGTCAGGAAGGTTAACCATTCACAAAGAGCTCAGAAGTGGCAAGGCCTGGATGGAATGCAATCATGAGGACAACATGGGGCACTGTCCATAACTGTGTGATATTGCACTTTCCCTGATCAAACGTCCCCTCTGAGGGTGTCCTAGGGACATTTGAGACCATTTCCCTCTGACACATCCCTTCTTCTGCAGAAGCACCCATCTCCTTTAGAATTTGAATTTCTGCTAAAAAGTAGATGCTTTCCTCACAAATGTCCCCTCCTCCTGTATTCTTTCTCCTCTTGGATCTCCAAACTAAAAACTGTAGTGGGTATAGAAAGGAGAGTCTCAAGTGCTGTGAAAATCTTTCTAGAGGACTTTCATCCCTTCCCAACAGCCTGCAATGTGGACTTCTGTCCCCTCAGTAACAAACCGTACATGTCCTTCCTGAACTGAGAACGAACCTGCAGCATCCAGAGCAGCTCTAAGAAGCAGGAGAAGACAAAAAAGGCATGCAGCTCCCTGCTGCTCTCAGGAAAGGGGAGAGAAGCGCAGCTGCCTCCGTTCAAGGCTGGGTGAGAGTGATGAGTCAAATGACTGTCATCATTTGGATTCTGACATTTCTTCCTCTACAGAGAAAACGAAAGAGTCTGCTATTGGTGATCATTCATTCTGCGTTCATTTATGTCTTGTGTACTTTTTTTTTTTATTTTTCGAGATGGAGTCTTGCTCTGTCACCCAGGCTGGGGCGCAGTGACGTGATCTCAGCTCACTATAACCTCTGCCTCCCAGGTTCAAGTGATTATCCTGCCTCAGCCTCCTGAGTAGCTGGAATTACAGGCAAGCACCACCACACCTGGATAATTTTTGTACTTTTAGTAGAGACAGCATTTCACCATGTTGGCCAGGCTGGTCTTGAACTCCTGACCTCAAGCGATCCACCCGCCTCAGCCTCCCAAAGTGCTGGCATTACAGACGGGAGCCACCACGTCTGGTTAGTATTATGTACTTCTGACTATTGTGTTCTACTTTCCGATTTAAACAATGATCCCAGCAGCTATGGGAGCTACAAAGAGCCAGGAGTTTGGAAGCTTTTCAAGACACTGTGAGCCCTCTCCTTTTATCCTGACTTCTTTCTCACTTTCTGCCTTTTCTTGAAGAACAAGAAAAGCAACTCCAGTGGAAACCACTTAAGCCTGCAATTTAGCTCACAAATTGTCCCCAGCATCCTTGTATCTCCTTCTCCAACTCCTTTTTTTTTTTTTTAACCTTAGCTCTTCCTGATGATTGTGAGCATAGCTCAGAGTAATGCCAACTGTTGCTGTATCAGCTTAAATCAGTGTGGTACCTGGTGATGGGGCACAGTTGAGGCAGGCACTACGAGCTTAGACGAGCCTTCAGCCCCAACTGAAAGGGATATATTGTGGAGCACTCACGCATTCTATAGCCCCCTCCTAATCCCTCAAGAATCCCAGGCTGGGAATGGCTGCAACTTCAGGATTGTAAAGTTGTGTAAACACATCTTTACATTGACTACATCATGGTCCAACGTAACACTTTGAAACAAAGGGCTTGAGTGTGTCCCTGTACCCCTTCATTCCTGAGTTAAAAACAAAGCTCCATCAGTCGACTCATATTTATAGAGTGCTCCCTGCTCATCTCCTTTCAGTCCTTCCGCTTGCCAGGGTAAGAAAATTTAGTGCAGACGATCCCAGCCTTCCCAGACTTCCCTCCTCCTTCCTGACAGAATTAGTTGTTGCCCCCCACCCCCCATGTTTTATCATAGCCCTTTGCACACTGTGTTCCCCTTATTTATATGCTTGTCTCTCCAGTTGACTCTGAGCTTCTTGAGGTTGGGAACATCGTTTGTGCCTGTCACATCTTTATGGGCCCAAGAATAGAGATGATAGGCAAAAGTGGAGTAAAGAATAAAGGAAGAATAAACATTTTTAAAATCAGTCTCCAAAGAGTTTTCCTTCTGGCAGGTAAGACAAGGCATACAGTGAGACATGAGGCAAGGCAGTAAGTAATAAGGGTCAGAATAAAAAGGAAAAAGAAAGCGACTGTTGGACTTGGCTGAGTAGGTTGATAGCAAGCTAGTAAGAAACATGAGTAGGTATCAAATAGACACAGGTGCAAAAACAGGGCTGAGAAAGGTATGTCGGAAGGGATGTCTAGTTCCAAAGTGTGCTGAGATTAAGGAATTAGAAATGTAAGCTGAGCTCCAGATACTGGAAGACTTTTAGTATCAAACAAACAATTCCATTTTTTTCTTTTGTCTAAACATTAGAGATGGGTACACAAAGAATATTTACCTGGTTGGAATGTCCAGAAGGACTGTAGTGGACTGGAACTCATGGAAGGGAGACCCAATGGAAACTGTAGAAACAGGCTTACACAATAGCAGAGGAAACCCTTAATAGTTATTTTAATCAAATAAGATTTTCATTTAAAAGAATGAAAGAATTAAGAAGACCACAGTATAAAATGTAAGGAATAAAGTTTATAGAGAGCAACTGGCATCGGAGACAGAATTCACAGGTCAGAAGAGAACTTACAAACATAAGTTCCAGTTCTTGGAGAGATGCAAGAACATACTGCTCCTATAAGTTAAGAACAGGTTGTTTGTTCATCAGAAAATAGAATTTTATGCCTTACGGTTCACATGAAGAGTTGTGAATGAAAGTATGAGCAGTGCAAAGGAACAATGAGGGATGCCGGGACACCAAAGACTAGCAACGGGAGGAAGCCATGACTACCACAACTGCTGAAAGGACAAGGGCAAAACAGCATTACTCAAAGCCACTGGCAGCCACAGTCACGGAGGCCAAGATGACTGGTGGGAGATGTAGTTGCAGAAGGACACAGTTACTATCGTCTGGCAAATAAAGGAGGGAATGAGTATACTCACCTCCTTCTCTTCACACCCTGTAAACTTACACTAATGCCTCCCATTGAGCAAACACCAGGGAGGAAGTCCAGGAGACGCAAGACAGAGACGGGTAGAAGTTGAACCTCAGGCAAAACAAAGATTACCCAACACAAGGCTGTATAAAAAAGGAAAAAATCAGTTTAAGAGGCAAGAGCGTCATTGGAAATTAAGAATATGATTGGTAAAATTTTTTTAAAAAATACAAGAAATGGAAGGCAAGGCACCAAACATTTCCTAGGACAAAAAGATAAGGAGGTGGAAAATATGAGAGAAACGTCAGGAAGCACAGAAGAGGGGTCCCAGAGAGAGCTCTGAGTTTAATAAACACCAAGGGTATGGTGTCTGCAAATGCTCCAGGGAAAAACACAAGCAAAAGGAAAGAAATGCAACCTGAAAATTCTTTAGGATTCAATAACACGTAATGATAAAACAGTTTCTTTGCCCCGAGTCCTTGGAGCATAAAAAAATCTGGGACAATCCGTTCCCTTACCACATCAGAAAAGCAACTTTTTGTTTCGAAAGGTCTGTGGTGAAACACAATTCCATGACGTTAATCAATTTATTTCAATTGGGAGTGAAGCATAAATGAAAAGTTCCTATTTCAGAACAGACCGTGAAAATGTGAAGATGTTATTATTTCCAAGCTAAAAGGAGATGTGAGATTCTCTGCCTGGCACATTTCAGAAAGGTACAATCAGCCGGGGCAGGGGAATAGATTTAAAATAGAAAAGTAATGGGAAAAGTGCTTTCCATGTAACAGACAGGGTGGTGGATGAAAACCTATCCCCCTAAAGCCCACTTTATTAATATACATTTTACTAGGCACTTTGGAAAGTTTGAAAATCCACATGCTTCTCATTTCCCATAGCTTCTGGGTCTAATTACATATTTGCATCCATTTGCATACACACACACACACACACACACACACACACAGGTCTCATCCAGTGATATAGATAATTCAATATTCAACTTGTCGATCATCACCTTAAAATAGAGATCTAATTATGGAAAAAAATTGTATGCTGTTTTTCAAATAAATAAAAAGGAGGACACTGATTAAAAATATAACACCCCTCATTGATCAACAGGTACCTTTTTGGTTTTAACCTATCATAAACATGAGGTTTGGTACTACATGGTTCTGGCCCTCCCAAATTAACACTGAGCTAGTTCAGGGAACAAGCTCTCACATACCAAATTCTGAAGCTGCCTTTCAGCAGCAATTTGAGGGACCAAGAACATAGGCTTTCCAAATGTCTAGAAGCTAACCAGATTCCTCTCTCCTTAATTTAGCCCCTTACATTAGGTGCCCCATGCTCTCTTTTGGGTCAAAAATAACAGGGACAATTTAATACCCTATGACTGTCCATTAAATATCTGAATTATGAGGATTCAGATGTAAAGTGCAATAGTATTTTAATAAAAGTACACTAAATAAGGAAGCTGGTAATAGACCTCTTAACGAAAACGTAGTCAATGGTTCATTTAATTTGATGGCAGAGTCCACTTTCAAATAATCCCAAAAGTGTATATTTTGTAAGAAAAAGGTTGCAGAGTTCACCTCAGGGTATTCTTAAAAAATTGTTTGCACACTGAGAAGACATCAGTGCTAAGAGGCTTTCCTGATTACTGAAATTTGGTTGGAAGTCTTTTTTATTTCTATTAAATGAATATATACAACCGTTCGGCTGCCTCAGGACATTTATGAAAATGAGATGCTCTGTCTTAAGGAAGTTAGCTTTAAGAGCGACATTTGAATCATTAGATGCCTCATTGGCTGTTACAAAAACAAACTTCAATCTTCTGCTTCCCCTTTTCTAATATTAGCTAACAATAATTAAGTTGCTTAGACAATTCCAGGTGACTCAAATTTCATAGCACGCTCTTCAAAAGGCTAAGGGATCACTTTAAGTTCCTAAAGCCCTAAGACTAAGTGTGTTTCACTCACTTTGTGTAGCTCCAGCCCAGCATCATGTACCAAAGGGATAACATGATTAAAAATCATCAACTTGTCTTCCGAAATCTGTTTCTAAACCACAGCACAAGGAACAGACATTTAAATACAGAAAGGGATGGAGAACTACAATCTTTTAAAAGTGCACACTTTAGTGCCCAGTGTGGTGGCTCACACCTGTAATCCCAGCACTTTGGGAGGCCGAGGTGGGTGGATCACAAGGTCAAGATATTGAGACCATCCTGGCCAACATGGTGAATCCCTGTCTCTACTAAAAATACAAAAATTAGCTGAGTATGGTGGTGTGCACTTGTAGTCCCAGCTACTCAGGAGGCTGACGCAGGAGAATCACTTGAACCTGGGAGGCAGAGGTTGCAGTGAGCCGAGATCTCACCACTGCACTCTGGCCTGGGCGAAAGAGCATGACTCCATCTACAAAACACACACACACACACACACACACACACACACACACGATAAATATTCACATCATCTGCCTTTGGTTATTCAACCTATAGTTTATCATGGGAAACAAGATCTTATTCTTATAAAGTACCTGCATATTTTCATTTGCTAGAAATTAACCAATTCAGCTTATATCATATGTGGCACAAGGTTTTGTCATGAGGAGGACATTTAAAGAATAATTTAAAAGAAAACAAGTTCAAACGTTCACATAAAACAAAATAGCCATCTCTAAGGAGAAAATGGGTATTGCTGATCCTAATGTTAATATTCTAAAATAAATGAAACATTTTTGAAGGGAGTATTCACCACCACAGCTAAAGAAAGCCACAAAAATTAGTGTATATGTGCCTATATTTATATAGGTACATTTCCCAATTTTATTCTTTTACTATTACAGATAGCTAATTCCTAGGAAACATTTTCTAGATGTCTTCTTTTATATACCATGTCTTTGGACATTAATTACAGGCAAAGAAAGTAAACACTCACAAGAAAAAGGGAATTTTACAATCTGATCTTCAATGTTATCTCAAGAAATGCTGTTATAGCTCCTTGGTTCTGGTTTCCATGCACCTGCAAATTGTCCTTTCACCCATCACTTGTAAGTAGTAGAGGAGCAAGCATACCTGTACAGTCATGCATTGCTTAACAATGAGAAGTTCTGAGAAATGCATCATTAGGCAATTTTGTCATAGCACAAACATCATAAGAGTGCACTTACACAAACCTAGATAGGTATAGCCCACTATACACATAGGCTATACGCTATATGCTATATGCTGTAACCTATTGCTTTTAGGCAACAATTCTTTACTGCATGTTAACATACTGAATACTGTAGATAACTGTAACACAAGTATATTTGTGTATCTAAATATAGAAAAGGTACAGTAAAAATATATTATAATCTTATGAAACCTCAGTTGTATGTGTACTCTACCACTGATCAAAATGTCATTATGTGGTGCATGACTGTATGTGAACATTTCTTGATCATAAAAATAAAGTGTATGTTGACTTAGTTAGTGCCCTGGCAAGTTAATATGTATGTTGACAAACTATAATGCTTAACATGAGTATGGTTAAAATAACACTATGTGAATATATAAACACATGTCTATACATATACACATATATACCTATATATACACACACATATAAATATATACATGCTTATAAATTACAGTCTGTCTTACATTAGCTAAACTATTACTACAGTTTGAGATAAATTTGAGATGTTACAATTGGAAATCTCCTGTTTCAATTTGAGAAGGGAAAATGTTGGCATATTCTCCTGAGTGGAGAAAGAGGCTTTCTATGTCAGCAGATACTTCAGAGGAACGTTAATGTCTCGAGGTTTCTAGCAAATTAACAGCCCAGGTAACAAAATGCAGGGAACTCTGGCCAGTTGCTTACTTACTCAGTTGGATCTGGCCACTTCTCCATGTATTCCCACCACACTAAATGGAGCATGAGTCATTTGAGTAATGAGTCAGAAAATGTCTAGCAGCCTCCGTGCAATAGCAGACGTGATGCTTAAGATAAATTTCAGAGATACTAGGATGGTGTTTTTCATGTCTGCACATCTCTCATTGGTGATGAATAAAATTCCTTCTCCCTTCCCAAGAGACAAAAACTGTATCATATGCTATCCTGAGGCTCGTTCCAACTCTAAAATTTAAAATTTCAAGCAAAACCTATAGAAAGAGGCAAATACAGTGTATAAATGTCTACAATTTGTGTCCTATTCAAAATTAGTTTTTGTGGAATGTTGTCTAATGGATTCAGTGGTCACGTTAATGACAACTTCACTCCCAAGTACTACATGCCCTGTTAAAGAAAAAATGCTTAAGTGAACAAAAAATTTAAACAAATTTTGGAGTTCAGTGAAATTAATGAATAATCTCTTTTTCAATCATCCCTGATTTTTTAAAATCACAATACCTAAATTATGATGATAGGAATTACTACTAGACTTTGAGTTTTAATCCCAGTAACATCTTTAGCTGATTTAAACCTATTTCAACTTCCATTTTAATATTTCATCTCATTTTATCTGTATGGTTAATATTAATTTCCTTTTTGCACCTTCTGGTTGTAGCACAAAGCCAGCTATACAATAGTTGTGTGCTGCTGAATGGAATTTGAAGGCAATATAAAATAATGTACAGCATCACTGAACTGGGGATTAAAAATCCCAAGTTTGAGTACTGTCTTGGCAATGCACTGCCTTTGTCACTCAGGTAAGTCACTTCTTCCTTACAAAAGTTTCTTCCATTACAGGTTTCACCTCTCATGACAATTCCTATCAATTAGTTGAGGCTGTCTGGAGTAATTAGGCAGGACGCTGGTGGGATGGAGTGCCATGATTGATGAGTGATGCCTGCCAAGGGTGTATGACAGCGAAGTGGTAGCAATTTTGTCCTGTACTTGGCAATTGTAGATTAGAACAGGGCTGCTCAAATGTGCATCTATCACCAGGAAGCTTTTAAAATGCAGATTCTGATTAAGTCTGGGGCGGTGGCTGAGATTGCATAGTTCTAATAGGATTCCAGGTGGTGCTGATGCTGCGGAGTTAGAGAGTACACAAGAAGCAAGGCAAAGTCCCTTGCAGCTCTGAATGAATATGGAATCTCAACCTCTCATTCTCTCTTGCTCACTCGCACACACATTATTTCTACTTTATGTATGTGAAAAGGTGCTTACATATGCCAAGAATACTGACAAGCACATTAAATACGTAATTCTCATCCTCCCCCACAAAAGGTAGTTAGAAGTTTTCAGGTAAGAAAATGGAGATTTAAAGAGGGTAAGTAATTTGTCTAACATCACAGAGCTGACAAGTAGTCTAGATGAGAGATGAACCTAGAGAACTTAATTCTAGTACCTTGCTCTTGACCTCTATCATATGCTGTCTTGATACTGTAACAACATTAGACTGCTTACTTAGTGCCAGCCACTAGGCTGTTTTGTACATATTATCTCCTCTACTTTTCTTAAGAACTCTAGGAGGTAGGTAATATTTTTGTTTTACAGATAACAAAATTAATTATCCTTCCACTGTCTCAATCTCGGTAAAACCATAGTGATTCCTATTAAGTAAAACATTAGATTCATATCTATAATGAACTAAACACAAAGAACAGTAGGCTAATAAAAGCAACATGTATATGCATAAGGCTAAGAGTAAATATATAAAAATATTCTTTTATAAATTCATCCTATGTAAATGCATTTTTGACAGGTAAACTCAAATGTTTCTGCAGAGTTTAGTGATGAGGTTATCAAAGTCCAAGTGATTATTGGTCCCAAACAGAATCCATCAGTGGGATTTACAGTGGGAGAAGTATCAAAGATTCTTTTTTCATCATACTCTTTTACTACCTAAAAGTTCTTTATTAGCAAGCAAATGAAATAAGATTGGATCAGTAAATTTCCCTGGAGATGAGATTTCAATATAAGCAGGTGACAGTGGATGCTGCACCGATGCACACTTAAGAAGAGCAAACACCATTGCAATGTGAGGGCAGGATTTTTGCTTTACTTTGTTTAAAAAAACAAAAGTGTGCTTCAAAACCTAAGGGTCTGAAGCAGTGATTCTCAACCTTGGCTGGAGGCTGCACTTTGGAATCAAGTGTGTAGAGGGGACTTAAAAAATACTGATGCCTAGATCCCCTAGAGATTCTGATTTATTTGGACTGGGGTGCAACCGAGACATCAGGATATTTTTAAGCTTCTTAGTTTTTAAATGTATAACCAAGGTTGAGAATCATTTGAATATAGGCATACCTGTCCCATGTGGGGGGCGACTAGTCATTAAAGGCATGAATGTCTAATTGATGAATGCCCTCGTCAGAGCAGACTGGTGGCATTCAGAGAGCAGCAAAGACTTTCTCCCTTGAAGTTAAGCTTAAATTTCATAAGTAAGTCTATTTTAACAGAAAATTTTATAAAACATTTGTAGATAGTCTGAACTACGAAAATCATTTTCTCCCCTTACCAGAATTATTTCCACTGGAGGGCAGTCTCCTCTTGGGAAGAAATGAATGCGGATACAACCTTCTTAACAGACCAAAGTTTAAAATATTGACTAAGACTGTGGCATTCACATGGGTTTCATTTCAAGACAATTTCTGGGAGATGGAGTATTTGGGATAAAAAAAAATGTGTATTCTATGTGAAGATACTGCCAAATTAAAGGTTTATTTCTGTCTGCTAAAACTAAAAGGATAAAAGCTTAACCCAAAAGATAAACACATCCACATATGGAAGACCCTGGGGTGTACAAACATAACAACAACAAATAGAAAGTAGCATTTATTATAGGTTTACTGTGTGTCAGATCCTGTACTAAGCAATTTAAATATCCTACTTGATTCTCAGAACAAATCTATATTTTATAGGTAAGAAAACTAAAGCTGAGAAGTGTTCAAAGAAATGTGTCCAATACCACATATCAAAAAAGTAGCTGAGCTAGGACTTGAACCCTATCTGCCTGACTTCAAAACCAGCCCTTGCAATCACCAATGATACCGCTTTACTGCTTGAGTGAGAAGCAACATGGTCCCTATGCGTAAGACAAGCGTCTAAATCAGAACATGTCAACACAAGAAAACAGGAGGAAAAAACTCTCTTTACACAGCATTAGGTAATGAAAGAAACTGAAAGGAGGTGATTCGGGCAGAATGAGAAATTCCTTATTCTCCTTACTGGTTTTATATTTTAACAGTTTTCACAAACTGTTTTTGGTTCCTCTTCATTTCTTATGCAAACCCTTTCCAATCCATTAAAAATAAATTTGGCATTCCCATTGCTATGTCTTCAGCCGCTGTACAGAACCTTGGACTAGCTGGTCATATTCCTCAGAGACTTATTTCCTAGATCAGGGGTTGTCAAACGTTTTCTGTAAAGAGCTGGATAGTAAATATTTCAGGTTCTTCAGGCCCCACGGTCTTGGCTGCAACTACTCAATTCTGCCAGTGTAGCATGAAAGCAGCCAGAGATGATGTGAGGATATAGATGACAGACGATATGAACAAAAAGGGCAAGACTGGATTCCAATAAAACTTTATTTATGGTCACTAAAACTTGAGTTTCACATCATTTTCATGTGTCACCAATTATTATTCTTCTTTCTATTCTTTTTCAACCATTCAAAAATGTAAAAGTTATCTTTAGCTTATGAGCCACATAAAAACATGCTGTGGCCTGGATTCAGTGGGCAGGTGGTAATTTGCCAATCCCCGTCCTGAATAAGGTGTCCTGTATTCATTTGCCATAACGCAAAGGTCTTGTCACAAAGATATCTAGCAATGGCTCCATGCTCAAAGAGCAAATGTATCCCCAGATACCATCAGCTAGTATTTCAGAATCAGCTGCCTTCCCCCAAACCACTTTTTGCTATTGTATACAAATTCTCTCAGTAGTAAAAGTATCCCAGTTAAATCACATCAGCACTCTGGGAAATATTCTTCTTGGGGAAATATTACAGAATCTGGAATCTGAAAATGATCCAGAAGGTCACAGAGGGCTGTCATTTCCCAAAGGCATTCTCCAGAGCCTCCAAGCTCCTCACAGCTGCAGATACAGGTATAGGTACAGTTCCTTAGAGAAAATAGCTCCACAGAATGACCAGGACCTAAGAAAGCTCTTAGCAGGGGTGTGCTAGAGCCATCTCCTATCAGCTCATAGAAGAACTCATTATATTTTTCAGCATTTTGTGAGCCAGTTGACATGAGTTGATAACCTGAAATTGGCCATGGTGGGAGCATCAGCACCACAGAAATTCAGAAATGTGTATTCACAAGTGTTACAAATTAGGCTTTTTTTCCCCTCTGAGAGCAATTGTTAAACATTGGCCAGCATACCTCTATCCATTACCCCTTTCCAACAGACAAACTCCTCTTAGATCTGTTTTACACATACACACATACAACCCTTGTGAGCTGCGGTGGCGGTGGCAGTAACTGTGGGTTCAGGGAAAGGAAAGAATTTCCCCAAGTAATAAACAAATGTATTTAGGATTAATCACCATTTTAGATCATCCTTGAGTTACTACTCCCTTTGGAATCCCAAATGCATTCCCCTTTTATATTAAATATGGTCAACTGGAGACTAAGGAGTTCAATCATTTTTGCATAGGATCAGAAATTTATCAGAATCTTTTATCTTCAATTATCTTCTGTAATTTTATGTGTTCATCTAACATGGACAAAAGGAAAGAAGTTACAAAGTCCTGCACTGCATTGTACAACTGTGATCCAAGAGGTGCCATTTTCACTTCTGCATCATGCTAATTATCCATGAGCCTATTCCCTTTTTTATTTTTGCTACTACTGAATGAAGATCCTTACAATGTAATATCTAGCAATGTTCTAATGTTCCTGAACTATATATTATTTGTTTTTAAGCAAGAGGCTCTCTGATTATTTCTGGTTCCTGGTCTCACTCCACTAAACTACATGAGCCCATAAACCTAATCTAAACAAATCATTTTGAATTTATTTTTTCTGCATTTGCTGCCTTCATCTTAGTTTTGCATCACTTCAGGCATCAACAAAACTATTTTAATACAATCCTTTCCCTCTACTTCTGCAAGATTAGAAAATAAAAGAGAACATTTATAGCTACTAGGTGAGCTGGAATATCTAAAAAGGGATTATATCCCTCCCTATTTGTCAATAAATATGACAATAGTTCATGTGAGAGTAAGCTGAAGCTGAGTGGCCTATAACTAATTCTGAAAATTTCTAAGCTTTAGAAAAGGATATCCAGGACTTGAATGCTCCTGAAACGATACAACACATTCATGCGTAATCAGAGATACGTAGATTCAAATAAATCTACCTCTACAATCTTCAGAAAGCAATTTTTGGAGTCAGACACAGGTGCATTTTGTTAGAGTTTACTGAAACTCTTTACATTGTAAAGCTGTAGTGGTAGTCACCCTTAAGTTATTCATAGACAATTTCAATTATTTATTCATAGACTCACATGATGTTATTTTTCATTCAGATCCAAAGCTTGTTACACATTCTGCAACAAAATATTTAATGAAATTCCAAGACTTAAAAAATCTTGCAGTGAAAGCAAGAAAGACCTATCAATACTGAGTCAACAGAGTGGACCTACCAATTCAACCAGGCTTGGTACCCAAAGGCACAACTCAACATAAAGTTAACATTTCACTATGTAAATTCTAACTCCAGTTTCTTTTTGAAACACACCTTCCGGTCATCTATTTTTCCTTCTTGATCTGTTCATAAGTCATAGGACAGAATCAATTACCTAGGACCCTTTCATTGTCAATGAAAATATATTTCCCAAAGTGGGTTCTGTGAAACACTATTATAGGCATTATTACAGTTGTTTTACTATTTTTTTTAATTCCAGATTTGGATAAATTTGGGAGATGTGGGTTTTCACTCCTTGGGGACTTCTCAGAGCCCTTAGTATATTAATGTACATCAGAACTCTCCAAGTAGGGCATTAGAACATACAGTATTATCCATACATTTTAAAACAAAAGAATTTTCTTCTCATGGAGAATCTCATTGGACTAGTATCCCACGAAGCACACTTTCAAGAATGCTGGTTTATAAGACACAGCTGAGATTTGCATATAGGCACCAAAAGTGGAACCACAGAGAAAGGGGGAAATCATCTGAGATCCCTCTCACATGAGCACACTGGCTGCAGTAAAATGAGCAATAGAAACTGCTGAGTTCTTTTACATCTATTTCCAGATCCTGTCAAAATGAATAAATAAAGGTAAGCAGGGTAGGAGGACAGCAATCCTGTGAAATAACCTCCCCCCAGTCTATTTGATAGTTTCCATGACTTGATCATTGACTCATCAAAATAGACAGATGTGCTCTTATCCAGCAAAGTTTAAAGTTAGAGATAAAAACAACAACAAAAACCTGAGCTTCACCTTCAGCAAAGAAGTGTCAGCTGGAGACTTTAGAAATTCAAAGAGGTAAAAACAGAACTATCATTCAACCCAGAAATCCCCTTACTGGATATAAACCCAGAGAAATATAAATCATTCTACCATAAAGACACATGCACAAGTATGTTCACTGCAGCACTATTCACAAAAGCAAAGACATGGAATCAACCTAAATGCCCAGCAATGATAGACTGAATAAAGAAAATGTTGTATATATACACCATGGAATACTATGCAGCCATAAAAAAAGAACAAGATCACGTCTTTTGCAGAAATGTGGATAGAGCTGGAGGCCATTATACTTAGAAAACCAAAGCAAGAACAGAAAACCAAATACTGCATGAGCTTACTCATAACTAGGTGCTAAATGATGAAAACTCATGGATACAAAGAGGCGAACAATAGACAATGGGACCTGCTTGAGGGCAGAGGGTTGGAGGAGAAAGAGGAGCAAAAAAAATAACTATTAGGTACTATGCCTAGTACCTGGGTGATGAAATAAACTGTACAATAAACCCACATGACATGAGTTTACCTATGTAACAAACCTGCACCTGTACCCCTGAACCTAAAATAAAAATTTTAAAAAATTCAAACATCCTGCCTAGGATTACAAATTTATTAAAAAATTATTTCCTTCCATCTAAGCTCTCTATCAGAAAAGTAATCATGGAACCAACCCAAATGCCCATCAATAACAGACTAGATAAAGAAAAAGTAGTATATATACACCACGGAATACTATGCAGCCAAAAAAGGAATGAGATAATGTCATTTGCAGGGACGTGGATGAAGCTGGAAACCATCATCTTCAGCAAACTAACACAGGAACAGAAAACCAGACACGACATGTTCTCACTCATAAGTGGGAGCTGAACAATGAGAACACATGAACACTGGGAGGGGAACATCACACACTGGGGCCAGTTGGCGGGTGGGGAGCAAGGGAAGAGAGAGCATTAGGACAAATAGCTAATATATGCAGGGCTTAAAACCTAGATGATGGGTTGGTAGGTTCAGTAAACCACCATGGCACACATATGTAACATGTAACAAACCTGCTTGTTCTTTACTTGTATGCTGGAACTTAAAATAAAATTTAAAAAAAACTCAAAAAGAGAAAAAAGTAATCACCTGATATTCACCGGGATAAAGAAAGGAATTTAGAGAAATGTCTTTTGTCCCTACAGTTGAGGCGTAAAACCTGACAGTGAGGATGAAGGCCCTTAGAAGCCACGCAGTTCCACTAACAAGCCCATGTAGTTATTTCTACCTCCATTACCTGCTGCTTTATTAATATAATTAACCACTATTTATTGAGCTTCTGCTAATGCCAGGCACTATGCTAGGCTGTATGCCTATATTTTTATTTTATCCTCTGACCATGGTAACATCGGTTGTCTTATTATCCTGATTTCACAGACTTGGCACAGAGAAGTTCCGTCTCATGTCAAAGATCACACAGCCTGGCTGGGGTAGAATCTGTATCAGGAGGCAAGTCTGCCTGACTCCAAAGATCATGCAATGCCCCTTCTCCTTTTTTTTTTCCCTTCCACCACTCTTCTGTCATGCCTTTTCCCTAGCTATTACCATTTAAAAGCAGTTGTGATTAAAAACAAAGGTCAGCTGTCCATAACTTAACTCAAATGTTCTTTCTTCCTTGCTCTTAGAGACAAATTACCATCTTCCATCATTCACGTGGACCAAGAAGGATTTAGGCTGAGATGATTATGCATAATAATCTGGGTCTCATTACAAGCTGAGCACTTGGAAGGGCCATTCTCTCAGCCCTTAAGGCAGCTGAACTTGATCATATTTTCATTTTCTTTTCTCCCTATATCCACTAAAGATCAACTGACACAGAACAAATGAAGTTACTAACAATTTACTGATTTCTTTAAAATATATATCTTCAATAAAGGAAGAACAAACAGTCAAATGACTGAAATCTAAGTACGGAATGTGAAAAATGCCACTCTCTAAAATTCTCAAAGGAAGAGAAGAAAATAAAGAGGGGAAGGAGAAAGAGAGGGGAAGGAGAAAGGGAGAAAAAGAATCGAAGGAGGGAGAGAGGAATGGAAGGAGGGAAGGAAGGGTATAGAGATCATCTGCATTAGAATCTTCTCAGGCTGGGGGTCCCTGAGCCCACTCCAGACCAACTGATTCAGAACCTCTGGGGTGGGATCCAAGACTGCATTTGCACACACTCCTCTCGTGACTATAATTTTTTTAATTCATTTATTTTTGAGACAGGGTCTTGCTCTGTTGCCTAGGCTGGAGTGCGGTAGCATGATCATGGCTCACTACAGCCTCAACCTCTCAAGCTCAAGTGATCCTCTTGGCCTCAGCTTCCCAAAGTGTTGGGATTACAGGTGTGAGCCATCATGCCTGTCCTGGTGATTGTAATTTACACCAGATTCACCTTACCCTAAGAAGTGACTTGTATATGTGTTGCTTATGGAAGTCAGAAGTTTCCCAAGTTTAAGAATTCAGCATTTAGCTCCAGGAAAAATTGGTCATAAATATGATGATGACACATATGTGAGACAATGACTGCATGAGTCCAGGAAAGAATAAAGACATTCTCCTGAGAAAGACTCCTCGTTGGAGCCTATGGGTTCTACCGGGCAGGTGACTCACCCGTTGGAGTCACAGGTGACTCAGCAACAGGGTTATGTAACAAGACCACCTTCCTTGGTGCTAATTTTAGATTTAAATAGAGAAACTATTTGAATGTCAAATTAACCTTTTTATATAGAGAGAGAAAAAGTATAACCCAATGTAAGCACAAGGTAATAAGCACAGGGCAACACATTCAAACAGATGCAAAGCACGTGGAGTGAAAAGTGAGTTTTCCTTCCAGGCCCAACCACTTCTTTCTGGCACTTCAGAAACACACTTTGTAGAACCAATCACTTGTATTTGTGTGAACTCCTCCCTGTTAATACAAAGGGAGGAAGCCCATTATACACACAGTTCTCTCCTTCACTTTTCCCAGAATAACATATCCTGGAGGCCATTCTCCACAGTACATACACATTTACATCGTTCTTTTGAACATCATCACAGTCCATGTATTTGACCAGTTCACTTTAATAAACATTTAGACTTTTTCTAATCCTTTGCTAATAGAAATGATGCTATAAGGAACACTCTTCTTCATATGGCTTTGTCCACGTCGGGGGATATATTTTTAAGATAACTCTGTGGAAGCAAAATGGCAAGGGCAAAGGATACAGGCACTTTTGAGATATTGCCAAATTTTCCCTCCCAGGAAGTTGTAGCAATTTAAACTTCTATTAATAGTATATGATACTACTTGTTTCCCCCACACCTTCACCAAAGCAGTATATTTTTGATTGTGATTTAATTTGCCACTTCGACTTCTTACTGGAGAAAGTGCTGACCAGCAAACATGAATGTAACTTGGCAGCTATATTTCTCCTGGAGAATGAATACATTGGCATTCTAATTTATCATCTTCTTATGCATTAGGTAAGTATGAATCTGTGGCCTTGACCCTCTTCAACTCTGGGTAAATTTACAAACTTTAGTTTCTGGGCCTGCTAACACAGGTGAACAGTGATGCCTCCAAGAGAGGACACATCTACAAGACTGCTGGAAGGAGTCCTCTTTTAATTTTACTCTTCCAAGTTTTAAAAATAAATTGCAAAATAATTTTTCTCTAATAAGTTAACGATTTAAAATTGTAATTCAATTAGAAATTTTTTTAAATATTATGAACCAAATTTTTCTTGCTCAAGTCTGCAAGAAGGGAGGAACTCTGTGGAACGCTTCAGATCAGACCACCTTGGCGGACATCAAAGATCTAATTCAAATGACATCTACTCACAGACTCAGTGGTCTGCTTCATGGATTCAAAAGTTAATCAAAATTCATACTACAAATGCTGTTACTAATCGCCACAGCAGCAAACTAGAACCCCTCCTTGCCCACCACTTTTACACTCCACCCCCAGAGAATAACAGACAACATGCTGTTTCTTCCAGTAATTCTTAGGATGTTATTGATGTATTGTTTATTTTTCATAGAGTCCATGCACTTAGGAGGAAACAGGGCATAATATATATGCACTTTCAGAAAACTGTTTTAATGTTATAAATAATATCCAAAACCATTAATGAGTTTTAGAGGTGGCTGCCTTGCAGCGGGGAATTACTTAAGCACTGGAAAGCCAATCAACAAATATTTATTTTGCAACTTCTGTGTGCATGCCTAAAAAATCTTATTCCATTAGTAAAATAAGTCCATCTAGAAAAATACATTAATTCAACGCATATTTACTCCACACTCACATGTTGCACCACAGCTCCAAGTGTGAATGAGGCAGAGACCCTGCACTCGAGTTAGGAAGACACAGCCAACTGAACTGATGACTTAAACGCAAAGGGACAGAGCACAGGCTATGGCAGGATTACAGAAAAAGGGCTCCTCATCAAGCCTTGAGGGAATCAGGGAAGGCTTCCAGGAGGAAGCAAACTGATATGATTTCCAAGAAGGATTCATCCAGGGGGGAAAAATGGACAGAATTAGGGAAATACTATTGCTTAATCATAGAAGTTCACCTAAACCCCATGAAAGTCAGCAATAGTACCGTTTCTACCTGAAATACAGTCAGCCCAGGATTAGAATATGTTCAGCTCTCATGTCATAAAATCCCTAAAGAACTTTCTGAAAAGCTAAGCCCACTGATAAGAATAAAGGAAAAGCATAGCACCCCACAAACTAAAACATATTTTCCATTACAAATACATTTTCACCAACTCTGAAAAACCAAGTGGACATTTAACAGATCCTAGAAGACTTTGCTCCCTAATTGCCTCCCAATAACCCTCACTCTCATTAAACTACAGCATGACCCTCTAGTTTGGAGGCCCACCTTCTCTTTACTCAAAAATTTCCAAACCTAATGAGAGATAGTCTTAGAGAAAGATGATGGACTTAACAGACTGAGACGTATTTTCCTTCCTTGGTGTTTACATTATTTGACAGCAAGGAGCCCCAGAGCAGGAGCTAGTTCCAAGCAAAGTCCCCAAAGAATATCAACAAGGAAAAACAGCCACTAGGCTGTATAAATCCACTTGCTATAAAATTCCAACACACACATAATAACCAGCATATGAAGCTGAATCCTTATAGGAAAACAATTCAAAATCCAGGTACATTCATCAGGCCCTCCCCATGTCGTGGAAGACTAAAGTTAGTAGCTCTTCCATATGTTACACTATGAAACAAGATGAAAATGGCAGAGAGGAAAATGAAATGAGCCTTCTGAGATTCATTCTTTAGTTTGTTCGTTCAAATACACGGCAGAAGAGGGTGCTTTCCATACAGAAATTATTCCGTTTTGACACACTCTAACTTAGGCTATTTGGAGGAGAATTGTCTGGCTCTACCTTACAGTACACACTTCCCAAAGTCCCACAAATCATGTGGCTTTGGGAGAAGAGAGAGTTCGGGGAGCATTTACCCCGACCATACCAAAATGAATTAACAGGGATTAATTTGGGTTACATGGTCTATGTGCCAGTCAGAACAGCTTCCAGTGTGTTTCAGAATTTAAGGTGGGGAAAAAAGAAACAGAAAATCGGATTTCAAAACTACCCTTTAATGAAAAGCTGTTAAAGTGATTTATCTTAACAAAATAATCATCAAATTAGAAGCTATATGTATTCTTAAGACATTTTGAACTCCACATTGTATCAAAATTAGGTAGAATATATATATTATTATATATATATTATCTCTCTATATATTCTCTATATGTAACCTCTATATATATATATACTATATATATTCCATATATATACTATATATACTCTCTCTCTATATATATATATATATAAAATCATAGATACACCATGATAATTTACTGAGAATACTAAAGGAGATGCGAATAAAAAATATGTATCTAGTCTATTTGTTAGAAATCAGGTATACCTATCTGCAACAGACAAAAATAACAATGGCTTAAGCAGACATGGTCTAATTTGCTCATGTAAGTCTGAGGACCAGCAGACCAGAACTTGTCTGGCCACTGGCACCGTGGTCATCTAAAACCCAGGCTGCTTTCAGATTCTCTTCTACCACCTCTGTGATGGTTCTTATTCTCCTAGCCCAAGATGGCATTCCAGCCATGCCATTCACTGCCTGGGCAGCAGGATGGAGGCAGGGCAGGCTTCCAATCTTTAATGACATGTTCCAGAAGTTGCGCCCATCACTTCTCATTGTCACTTGTCAGAATTTGATTATACAACCCCACCTAGAAACAAGGAAGGTTAGAAATGTAATCCTTCCTCTAGGCAGTTGTGCAGGCTCCCAGAAGAAACAGAGCTGGATTATTCAAGAAAGGTAAGCGTCAGAGGTAGTAGGAAAGTAGCCTGAGTCTGGAGAGAGTGAGTAGAGCCTCCGTGAGATCTTGTCCTCTCTTCTAGCCCCTCATCTAGCAAGATTTACAGTGGGTTCCTGTGCCTGGGATATAGCACTGTCTTGATGGTTATAGCAAAGGTCCCAGTGGCTGTGCCTGGCTTGAAAGAAGTCAACAGCAGCAATAGCAAAGCTTGACCTCAAATTGATGGCACAGACAGGCATAAAGAGAAGCCTGCCCATCGCTGGGTATCCTGAAGACCTTTCTCCAACATCTAGGGGGAAAATGTGGGCTTTCATTCAGTGGGCAGAGCCCACACTTTCATTTTGACTAGAACATACATTCTGAGTATGTAATCTTCTATTGGTTAAACTTAGTTATACTCTCTCACTTTGTACCCTTAACACCACATACAAGACTGCTTTTGATAAGGAATAAGGACAGGAGATCCTTTTTTGTCCTCCAACTAGCCTGCAAAAAAGTATTACTGTAGATTGATATTGTATAATATTACAAAGAATAGCACTAGCCCAGGTGACCTGACACTTCTCTATAATAATTTTCTCTGGCACATTAATTTACACTTGCATGCATATCACTGAAGAAAGGTATTTGGGGTTTCTATCAGGACAATAACAGGCTTGAAATTAGTGTTGAAAAACATTCACAGCCAGGATTTCACCCCCTGCCCCTGGGTTCTCTATTTTAGCTTTCTACATTGGCAACTTTCAACTTTTGCTGCTCAATGCAAATAATAACTAGCTTAATGATTTAGAAGAAAATATTCTTGGAGTATGTTATAGTCGTATGTTAACTGCAAATGGCTGCCACCTCCAAATAATTGTCTGACACTATGTCTGACTATCTGTTCCTCCATTCTATTGATCTCTCCTATGAACAAAGCAGACAGATATGCAGGTACAGCTCTTTTAGGAACAAATTGCCCTTTCTCCAAGCTGACATCTTTAGAATTAAGAACTCAGAGACAGCCAATGTGGAAAAACATTTCTCCCCTGCCACATGCTTGGTGGGTCAGAAAGTCAATCAAATTCTATTTCACAAAAAAAACTAATTCCTATGAGATGGGAGGCTGCATTAATATTTCTAAGACCAAATATTCTCCCTCAAGTAATATAAATTTATAGGTATAACTTTTCCCAATGCTCTATCGACTTCTCATGGTATATGAAAGTAATTAGGCTTCTCTGAAAGCCAGAGCTGCGTTGAGAACTATATTTGAGTAAACACAAAAGAAAAGCATTTTGAGTGTTACTTTTAATGTTTCCAGAAAAGTTAACACCTATAAAAATATTGTTTCCAGTTTTCTGTATAGAAGTCACTGAAGGAGGATGTGTGAAAGTCTGTGGAAACAGTACACTGGCAAACTGCCAGCTGGAATCGCACGGAGCTCTGTTGTAACTCAAATCTGGCCAGGCCGCAAGTCAAAGCATGTCCTAAGAAATATAGTACACACATACAGCGAACACAACCATTGTAACTCTAGCCCATGGGAAGCTGAACATTCAATGGACAGTGTCCAGACTATATAGAAAAATAGAACACTGACCCACCACCTGCAGAAACCAGTCGAGGAAACCACAACTTTTGCAGCCATCGGCCCCAAATGGTTGGTACTTAATCAACAACTGCCAACTTCCCCAAGTGTTGCCCCCTGCATCCAACACAGGACCAACCAGTGAAAGCTGACTCTGATCACATAGGACATCTGGCTTCTAGGTTAGCCACCTCCAGCTTCCTGTGCCAACAGCCTCAAGTCAGGTCACACCTGAATCCTCCTCCTCCCTTCCCTCTCCTCTCCCCTTCCAACACTATAAAGGGTTTTCTATTCCCCTACTTCCTTTTGAGTCTTCACCAGCCACATGTGATGATGGCTGCCACCCTTGTTCTAGAAAGCCCAGAATAGCCTCTGCTTCTTCTCATTTGCATTGCTTTTTCCCCCATATCTGGTTCTCCCTGGGGGCCTTCTATCCTGCCTGGGCCCTCTGCTAGGAGTTCCTTAACTTTTCCCTTCTCCATCCTGCAGCATCTTCATCCTTCCCTGCTTCCAAGGGCTGTGTTTCTGTAGATGAACTGTTTCTCCCCTATTTGAGGCCAGTCCTTCCAACTGTATTCTTTCCTCATTATTTCTATTCCTTCTTCCTGGACCTTTTGTTTCCACCTGTTGTATCCCTTGCTGTGTTCCTCACATGCCACTGGGACAGCACAGAAACAGTCCCAAGGCGTCTACCTGGCCAAGCACAGTGGAGCTACTGTGAGGACAGGATATAAAGAAGCAACAGTCTGGCCTCACCAAGAAAAGGGAGCATTACAGATTGATTCATCTGCATTACATTTCAAGCCAAAGTTGAACAGTCTAGATTTGGATGCAAAGAGAACAGAGAAAAAAGCTAGGAGCCAATAGCAACCAATTCAGGGGTCAGAGTGGCAGGCATCAAGAAAGTAGGATGGACAAAGGAGAGCCAACGAGGAGAAATTAGGGGAAAGCGAAACATCAGTAGGCAGAAGGCAATTGTACAGGATTAAGCCTGAGGACACCATGTTAGTCTTTTTTTTTTTTATACTTGGCTCCTGTAAATTGCAGTGAGCCATGTATTAAAGGGAAAGAACATGGAGGATCACCAAGCATTTCTGTCCTAAATATATACATATACATATAAATATGTATATATGTGTGTGTGTGTATATATATATGGACACACACACATATATATGTGTGTGTATATATGGACATATGTGTATATATATATACGCACATACGTATGTGTATATACGTGTAGATATATGTGTGTATGTATATATGTGTGTGTGTGTGTATAGTGTGTGTATGTGTGTATTTTAAGAGACTAGGTGTCACTCCTGTTGCCAGTGCCGTCGTGCAGTTATAGCTCACTGAAGCCTCAAACTCCTGGGCTCAAGTTATTCTCCTACTTCAGCCTCCTAAGTAGCTGTAACTACAGGCATGCACCGCCATGCCTGGCTAATTTTTTTTTAAGAGATGGGGTCTTGCTGTGTTGCCCAGGCTGGTCTTGAACTCCTGGCCTTAAGAGATCCTCCCACAGCACGGGAATTATAGGTGTGAGCCACCATGCCTGGTCCCATAATATATTTTCCTTTGCAATACAGTCTATAGTTAACATCCAAATCCCATGCAAAGTATAATAAAACACCTCTTACCAGCTTCTTCTAGGGCTCAGAAAAACTCTCTTCTCTCCATTTTTGCCTCCCTTCTGATTTCTCCATTATTATTGCTCTATTAATTCTTCTTTCTTACAAATAAAAGTATACTTACCCATTATGAACTTTTAAATAATCAACTTCTTTTTCTCCTGTAATTAACCAAAAAAGTTCTTGGAATAATCTACTAAACACCCAGTCTCCACTATCTCCTCAGTCAAATACAGTGTTGGCTTCTTCCCTAGGCCATTCTTAGAGAATTCCTCTCCAAGGTCATTCGAGCCCAAACCTCATGCCCTTCTTCAGCACGCACAGGCTGCAGGCTCTCCTGAACCACCTTGAAGTTCTCCAACCTTGGCCTTGCCGACACTGCACTAGCCTTTGGGATCACCCTTTTTCAGCTCAGCTATTTTTCATTCTTTCACTCCTGCCCATCCCTCTTTTATCATCCCTCAGTCTCATCTGCAATGGAAACATGACCTAATCTCCAAAATCCTTTCCAATTGCTATCTCCTTCTGGATCTCCAAAACAGACAAGATTGAGGCTCCCGTTTGCTGTTCTTGGTGTTTGAATCACTCCTGCAGCAATTTCCTACACAGTCTCATAGTAAAGGAATCTGCACCCCTGTATTCTACTTCTCACTGGGACTGTAAGCTCCTTGTGGGTAATGGCTAAATCTCATCCACCTTTATATCTCCAAGTCTAACAATAGTACTAGACACATCTCAGGTAGAGACTCTGGAGTGTGACTGCCTATAGAGAGCATGATAATACTTTCTATCTCATAATACAACGCCTAGCATGCTGGCTCTTACCATCATCATCAAGAGATGAGAGTTAAATTAAATGAACCTAATAATGTGAAGACAGATGTTAGTATTGTCCCCCTGTGCTGTTTCTACTGTATTTGATTTCAGATATTTTAGTGAAAAAAAATGTGCTTTGAACTATCTAGATGACACCAAAACTGAAATTTATCAGAGACCTCTGGTATTCTGTTTTGTGCAGACATACTGCTTCCCAAATTATTTTACACAGCACCATCCCCACCTCATTTCCTGTGCTTATGGACAACGGAGGCTTGCAGAATTAAAGTATGCCTATTTATTCCATAAGAAAATGGGAATAAATATTAAGATAATGGTTGGGGGAGGAGAAAGTGTACAGAAAATAATTAAGTCAAACTCACCCAACATTAACATGGGGGAGAAGAGATTTTTTTCAAAACCCTGCCTCCCTAGAGCCCTAAACCTTTTCATCGATTTCCAATAATAGTGAGAACTTTTGCTATAAAATTGTTTTACAGCAGCTAACAAGCAGTAAATGTTTAATCATTATACATACTTAGGAGAGCAGCATTGTTATTTTATAGATTTTAAAACCAGGGGCTCATATAGATCTAAGAGCTTTCTTCTTGCACCTAGAAAGCAGCAGAACCATACCTTGAACTGTAGTTTTTCAGACTCAGTTCTTACCCGCTGTCATTCATATCCATACCATTCTCCAAAAGACTCATGTAAGAAAATAATCACCATGCAAAGAAACCATCCAGCTCTTCATGAAAAGCTCTAGTTCAGTCTCTAGGAGGACCCAAATGACAGTGAAGTCTAAGTCTCAGTCTCTAATGCCAAGGAAATGTCAGGGAATTAAGACCCTCAAGTGTGAACATGGGAGGGTAACTCAGGCTCCTCTTCTAATAAAGTCTAAATGGGAGTTCATCAAACTGTTTAAAAGCCGATCTTATCAACCTAACTAAACCTAATTCTTCTTGCTTTATCTGAAACCCTGTTTTAAAGTTCAAAATGACCAAGCTATGCAATTTGTATGCAGAGAAGCTAAGCAGCTGAGAGATATTGAGCCAGGACTCTCTGTCTAGTAAGTTAGAGGAAGAACAACAAAAGTAGATTGCCAGATACAAAGAAATAAGCAACATCAGAGAGATACCAAATAAAAGAATGTTGACAGCTCTTGGCTTCAGGAAAGCCAAGAAGAATCATACATTGAGGAATTGGCATTTGAGCGAAGGAGGTTTAGATCATATTCTTTCATCTTGAAAGTATAAAAAGGTCTGGAAAGATGTATCATCCTAAGCACCCACCATCGAAGTTAGATAGCAGCAATTTAATTCCAGCCTTCATATTGGAGAGCACATAGGCAACTTAATATTCAGAAACAAGATTTGGGGGGACAATTTAAAGAGAGGGCATTTTCCAGATTAATGGATACAGCTGAATAAATGTGTTCTTTGCTTTAAAAATCCCTCAAAATAATTAGCAGGAAAGGTAGCGATCAAGCAAAATGTTGACTATTTTTCAAGCTGTGTTTTCTCTCCTCTCAGAATTATTAATAAACTTACCATATTTTGGTTAAAATATTTGCTCACAAGGAGTATTAATTTTCCTAAAATGAATAGGGTTATAATATTTTAAAATGTATTTCACCAACAGCAATTAATTTGTGTTGAGTGTTTGAGGATAGATAATTCCACTGGGCAACAAAAATCACTTAATCTTCCATGTTGTTGCAAGAGCAAAGAAAAGCAACTGCATTTTAAAAGTTTAATTAGAAGTAAAAGCAAGTTTATATAATGATATATCACACTGCTAGCAAGTAATAAAGATAAACATCCTCGCATATTATCAGCACCAAAAAACAGTCAAATTTCGCTTTGCTTACAGATTGCAGAAACTTCTATAGTATGAAATGGCTTTTTCAGATACCGCTTCTGAGTTTGGTGGATTTTTTTCCCAAGAACTTGTGGTTAGGATAATTTGAGGGATTACAGTGTAGACAGTGACATTCCCTTGTATTTGAGAGAAGTTTGTGCAATTCAGACATGACTGTGTTTGCTTTTAGCAAACATACTGTTCACATTTTGAGAAAAACTGCTGATGCAGTCTGGTGAAAGTGTTCTAGCAATGCCAAATCACTGACAGATGTGCTGTCTGCCAAGGGATTTCCCTAGGAATGTTCTAATTTTCTTCTATCTGTTTAGAGAAAGTTCGTTTAAAATCTGTTAAAATGTATTAATGTGCAGTGTTCCATTGTATCTTGCTGTGGGCATACTAGCAAAAGAAAAGTTACAGGAAGATTGGTACTGGGGTGCCTACCAAAAACTTGATCCCGCCAGATCAGAAACCTGCCCAATCCTCGATCTTACAGAAGGGAGAGCTCATATACTCTGTAATAACTTGCATTGTCTATAATTTTATTGTGTTAGAACACAAAGGGGCTCACTATTCTTCCAAACTCATTTAAAAATATACCTGCTGTTGAAACTGCAGTCTAGAGAGATTAGGTGATATATCCACAGTCACAGTCAATTGGCCAGTGACAAACAATGTGGTCACCTGCAAATATCAATAGAATTAAGAAAACAAAAGGTAGTTCTTACCAGTGAGTTTTGCATGAAGGATGTGAGGCTCAAAGATAAGATACTTTGAGTACGGATCTAAAATTTTTATTTGTTACCAAATCAATGTTTTCTATATTTCCTAAGGTGACTATTAAGTCGGAGTCAAATATCAGAAACATCATCACAGTTATAAACTTAACCATTGTGGGGAAGATTAACATGGCTTTCATTAGTGAATTAAAATTGACTTCTGCATGTTGGTACAACAGTAAGACAATATCACAACTGTACTCCCAAGGAAGTAAAATGCTAAAAAGGACAAGTTAAAAAAAAAAAAAGGAATGCAATACTACCAGAAGTCCTAATGGTACCAGCACATACACACTGTCCCACATCAATGAGAATGCTCACCTACTGCCTGAGAAGTATAATAATGAACAGCTATCGTTCTTGCCCATCTAAACTCCCTTTCTTTAGGGCAGGAGTTCTTGACCTCAGCACTATTGACATTTTAGACCACATAATTCTTTGCTGTGAAGAGCTGTCTGTGTACTCTAAGATATTTATGGCCACTACTTACTAGATGCCAGCAGCATCTCCTTCCCAGTAGTGACAACCAAAAATGTATCCAGATGTCGCTAAATGTGTTCAGATGGGGAAAGGGGAGATATAAAATCACTCCCTTTTGAGAAACACAACTTTAAGGAAGCAGCCACTTCCTCACTGTACTGGTAGGGCTGCCATTCACATCATATGCCCAGAAGGCACTTAGAGCTCAGTAATCTCATGGCCATGGCCTTCCCAATATCCACAGATCCATCCTGCTAAAGGCACCAATGATCAGCTCTTCTCTGGGACTTGTTCTTTAATTCCATATCCTACACAACACTCTCCCAAACCTCTTTTTTCCATAAGTTATTCAAAGTTGGGTCTGCTACTTACAAACAAGGAAGCCTACTTGATTAAAAAAAAATAAGCAGCAAAAATAATTGTTTTCATTTGTGTAAGAAAAAAATAGTGCATCTGTCATAAACTAATAGTAGAGTAAGGCAGGATTACAGAATCACACTCCCCACCTCCACCCTGCAAGAAACTAATTTTTAAAAGTAAGAAAATGATAAGGATTTTAAAAAGCTAATACCTTACCCAACACCTATAAAACCAATAAAGTGGTATAAGCTTTGCTATAAATTTTGAAAGCCTAAGAAAAGAAAACAAAGATTCTGATACGTCAGCCCCACCAACTCACCCTAATCCAACCCTACACACACCCAGAAGCGGTACTAATCAAAGAAGGTAAGTAGACAGATTTCTGAAGTTTCTCAGAACTACCCTAAATATGAAAAGGTATGGACTGACAGAAGGGGAGTGATGAGGCAAACCCAGACAAATTCGAGAAAAACAACTTTGTTATAGAAGCTCCTACATGTCCTTTTGAGACCTTATCAGGACTACAGTACATATTATAGATGTTCTTTTTATGAGAAGATGCCCCCTCTGGGCAGACCAAATTAGAAAAATGCATCCCTCTCATGAGCGGATGCAACAGCCCTGCACCAAGCATGCTTTTTTGGAGGCAGAGCACAGACTGGAATTGAGCTCCCCTTCCGGGCCCCTCACCTATGTTTCTCCATTCAAGGACAACCTGCACACAGCAGCAGTTCACAGCAGCCCTGCCAGCAGAGGCTGGAAGGGTCCCCAGAGTTTGTTGACTTCCACAGCAATGTGCCAAGTGACAGAACCTTTGAAAGCCCAAAGACTGCAACAATGCTGGTTGAGGAATGGGCCCAGGGACAGAATATTAATAGGATCTCGGAAGATACAGCAGGGATCAGGTCGCCCAGTGTGGGCTGCACCCTGCTTCCCCACAGCCTTCTCCACCCTCACCCTCCACATTTCCTACCGCAGTGGCTTCCTAATGTCAGCATGTTTCAGAGCTGCCTGAAAGCCTTGTGATAAAACAGGTTACTGGGCCACATCTCCAGAGTTTCTGATTCAATGTGTATGAGGTGAGGCCCACAGATTCCCCCTGTTAAATGATGTTGCTGGTCTGAAGACCACATTCTGAAAATCAGTCATCTTTAGAAAAGTATGTAAAAAGCAGCAGCTAGCCCTCAAACCATAGCTCAGAATAGGGAAGACAAACTAGTGTCAAGGAACTTGAAATCAAGGAAGATGAAGATCAACTCACACCAGTTAAGAAAAACAACAATAACAAAAACATAAAACACCCATCTTAATAGTGAGCAGGATAAAAATAAAAGGCATGACTACCATGCAAACTTACTACCTGAATGAGGAGAGGGTGGGGAATGGCAGAAAGAAAATAACAGAATGTAAAAGACAGATGAAGAACTCAGCTGGAAGAAAATGTAACTGAAATTAAACAACAGTTTCCTCATAAGTGTTTTATAATATTAAGGAAACTAAAAAGAATCTTCAATAACAGCTCAAAATTGAGAAGATAAAACACAAACAAGGTTTTGAAAAGGAAATTCCAGAGTTAAGGAAGTACTCTGAATATATTACATACCAATAAAAACTTAATTAATTCATTAGAAACAGAAATAGAAAAAGTCAAAGCTGAAAACTAAATTACCATGATGGAGAAACTCAAAATAATTTCACTGAATACCTGAGAAAAAAGGCAAGGAACTTGTTCAAGCAAACAAAGTAAGCATTAATTTGGAAGACAGATAGAGTAAGCCAAGAAAATCATCATCAGTGTCCCTGAAACACTGGACCGTAAAAAGAAAAATTCTCAGTTTTCACACAAAACATTTATCTAAAGTGAAGAAAGAACTGAATCCATGGGTGGAAATGATACAGTATCCTGAGAAAAATTTAATGATCAGCATTGTCATCCTAATTAAGCTATTACACATCAAGGATAAAACTAGAGCTGTTCAAACATCTAAGAAGAAAGCAAGTCAATTACAATAGGGAAAAGAAAATCAGCCTGGCCTCACACTTTCTACAGCAACAGCCAATCTCGGAAAACCATGGAGCAATGTCTAAACTTCAGAGAAAAAGAAAAGGTGACCCAAGAATGTCCTATCAGCCAAGTTGTTATTCAGGTATAAAGGTAATAGGTAGATATTCTCAAAAGTGAAAAATCTCAGAGAATATAACCTTCATGAAACCTTCTTGGAGAGAAAAAAAATTGCTTGATGATGAAAGGTACCCAGCTAAGAGATAAATAAAAAGAAACAATCCTGGCATCTAGAAACCATGGTAAAAAGACTACCAGAGCTGGATCCAAATAAAAATACAACCAGGACTAAACAAATGGGAGAATGACATTTGCAAAACAGAATGAGGATGTTATGAGCCTGTGCAATGGACTGAATACTTATGTCTTCTCCAAATTCATATGTTGAAATCCTAACTTCCAAGGTGACAGTATTAGGCAGTGGAAGTCATGAGGGCTCCATTCTCATGACTGGGATTAGTGCCTGTATAAAAAAGACCTCAGAGAGCTAGCTAATAGCCCCTTGCACTAGGTGAGAAAATAGCAAGAAAGTACCATCTACTCATGAGAAAGCAAGCCTTTGCCAGACACCAAATCTGCCGGTACCTTGATCTTAGACTTCCCAGTCTCTATAACTGCAAGAAATATATTTCTGTTGTTTATGAGCTACCCAGTTTATGGTATTTTGCTACAGCAGCCCAAACAGACTAGGACAGCCTGTCAGGGTAAAAATAATATGAGCAACATAGTTTGAAGGTAGTAAGAGAGGTAGCTGGAAAGAAATTAGAAATCAATCATGTAATCTCTCCTAGTGAATAACATCTAAAATTGGTGTAGTTAAAAACTCATAAAAACTCCAACTTTTGAATGTTTTTATATTTTTTCTTAACCTTTAGAAAAGTCTTTAGGAACAAATAGCTTTAATGGTGAAAAAATACATAGCTGAAGCTCAACAATTCCTTGGATTTCACTTTCAGTTTCTTTTTCTTCTGTTAAATTCAGGTAAAATTAAATTTAACATCTTTATTGATAAAGCAGATATATTATGATCTCTGAATTATTCTCATCCTTACAATGTTAATTCTTACTATCTATCCATTTTACTATCTTCCTATCTGTACATGTGTATTAAGAGATGTTTAGAACGATGCTCTTCAACTGTTCAGAGGGTATTTCTCGGTGGTGGGATTTAGGGTATTGTGTTGCTTTCTTCTGTATAATTTTGTATATTGCCTACATTTTTTAATGATGAGCATAAGTCACTTGTAAAAATATACAATCACCACTCTAAAAAGGAATACATGAAATATAACACCACTTTTCTGACACAGTGAGTATAAATGTATCTCTTTCAATGAGCAACATCATAAAGTGCCTCTCTGGGTAAGGCATCATTGTGAATATCCACCCTCATTGCAAAGTACACTAGAAGTGAATGATACGTAAGAATGAGTAGAATGTATCCAAGGCAATAACACTATAAGGCTCTGTTTCATTTTTGTAAATAGATCTCTGGCTTAGGCTCCTTTAATTAGCAGTACCTAACATTTCCTGAGCATTTGCTATGTGCCCGGCTGCATGCCACCATACTTTATAGGTATTTTGTTATTTAATTCTCACAGTAACTATAAGGTAATAATAATAATGGTGACGAAGAGACTAAGAACAGCTCAGAGTTGTTGAGTGTCTACTATGTACTAGGCACTGCTCCAAGTGCTTTTCAGGCAATAACATTCTTCAGTAGGAAGTACTTATAGCAATGGGAGTACATTGTGCAGCAGAAGAGAAGGCTATCAAGGCCAGCTTTTAAAAATACAAGGATTTACATTTAGTACAGTGAGAGAAAGTGCACAGGTGAGTCTGGCCTTGTGTAGAGAGAAAACATAAAGAGAAAAAACTGGCAGAACCACGCAATTAATTAAGTACTTTTGACCACAAAAGTGAGGGGAATCCAGGGTAGAGCAGGACTCCGACCAAGAAGATATAAAGGCCTTGGTCAGCTTCTGGTTGTCGTGGAAATGGGATTTCAACCATTATAATGAGATCAAATCATATGCTAACAAAGAAATCAGTAATTAGAGTTGGGGCCACCCACAGAGCTCACCTCCATCTTGGGATAAGATCTAGGAAGAGCCAGACATGCATTTTTGCCGCAGATAAAATCCCAAAAGGAAAGGTTTTAAGTATGAAAGGGTTGGGCTGAAATAACATACTCAAGAATATTGCTATTCTGAGTGTTGCTTCTGCTTCCAGCTCTGACCAGGTCACTGCAGATAACAAATTATGTCATTTCTTATAGCTCTATTCCACTCATCAGCTCCCCTTCTATGCAGGAAGGAGCATGAAATGGGAAAAAAACCGAGGTTCCCACTCTTGGTGTCCTAAGTGATCAGCCACAGGAAGAAAAAGATCTCTGCTCATTTTCCCTCTCACTTACTATTGCCCAGGAATCTTGGATCTCTTCAGAATAGTGGGCAAACTGAGAGAAAGCAAGTTCATTTAATCCTCAAAACAACCCTATAGATTCCATTCTGTTATCATCATCCCCATTTCACAGATTTCACAATGGACAGGGAGGAGCAGCATTGAAGGGATCAGTAACCTGCCCAAGGTCCATTTTAACACAAGAGCTTTCTGACTTCATTCAGGCTCCCCTCTCTGTGATTGTGATTTCTCTCATGTCTAAACCATTCACATTTTTTAAAATTAGGATTTCTATGCTTAAGTATGTACCTTTGTTCACAACTAAGTTGAGGATTCTATACTCAAACACACACACACAGAGAGAGAGAGAGAGAGATGCAGTTGATTTTCCCCAATACTAATGTCCATGAACTGAAAGCTTAGGCAATAACTTAGTATAGCCACAGCTTTGGTTTGGTTCAGTTCTAGGGTACTGCTTTGCAAATTAAAGGTGTAATCCCTTCAAATCACTGCAATAAAAGTGATTTGAAATCATACTATTTGCAGTCATAATAGAAACAAATGCCTACTTAACTACTCATGGCTCAGCTCTGGTGAGAACACATCAATAGAGTAAAATGCTTTTAGCTTTCCAGAGAAAGGTTCCACCTGACAGATACCAAGAGATCAAATATTCACTCCGCTTAGGACAAAGAAGTGTACGGATTAGGACATACTTGAGAAGTCAGTTTCAGAAGGCACCAGTTTAGAAAAGAACCCTGAAAGACCTCTACCATTTATTTATATTTCAATGTATTCATTCCATTTCTTCCTATGTCTTTTCATTCATTTGTTTATCTCCTTGGTCTGTGTGCTGCAGGCTAAAACTACAGCAATTAAACACAAGGTCCTTGCATCCAGGAGTTCTTCTCAATCCAGTAATGGAAACAACTAACATCATATACTATTTTGCTTTATTTTCTGCTAGAGGTACGGACAGGAGGTGCTGTGGGAACACAGCTAATGGGGCACCTGGTTCTTGCCTATGAGAGTTTTGAGAAGGATACCTGAAGTAGGGTTTAGAAACTGACCATCACAGGGGATGGGAGAGGAGGAAAGATAAAGTTATAAGGAATTCTCAAACTTTGAACATGTGAATGTCCTATATGTATCTGTAAATAGTATATAAAAACACTATAGTATCTGACTGCTCTGTCACAGATGAAAACCTTCAAAGAGAAGCTGATCATAGACACAATTATAGAAACCAGGGGATGTTATCTCGCCCAAGTCTGCCTGACTACTTTTAAGGATGCTAAATTCCTAATCTCTCAAGGATGACATTCTTCTTGCCCCAGAGTGTGCTAGAGCCAGAGGGACCAACTCTTTCTCCCTAACTTCCTACCCAACAAAGAATCCTCCTCTACAATATTCCTAATGGATGTTTACTATAGCAAACATCACTTGTTCAGTTTTGGTTCCTCAGTCCCTATTCCCTCATTGTAATAGCATTTTTTTTTTTTTTGAGATGGAGTCTCGTTCTGTCACCCAGGCTGGAGTGCAGTGACGCAATCTTAGCTCACTGCAACCTCTGCCTCCCGGATTCAAGTGATTCTCATGCCTCAGCCTCCCAAGTAGCTGGGACTACAGATGCCCACTGCCATGCCCAGGTAATTTTTTGTGTTTTAGTAGAGATGGGGTTTCACCATGTTACCCAGGCTGGTCTCAAACTCCTGAGTTCAGGCAATCTGCCCGCCTCAGCCTCCCAAAGTGCTGGGATTACAGGCGTGAGTCACCGAGCCCAGCCTGTGATAGCATCTTGATTCACTTTTAGGGACTTTTCTCCTATTATAAGCCACCATTAGGATAGTGAATTGGGTGCCTTTTCATTCCACTCCAGAATTTGAGGTCCTGGAGACTTCTGGTATATTTTCTGCTGTAATGGAAAAAGGATGAGCATGTGTCCTAAGCTCAGTTAATTGGACCTTCTCTTCCAGGGCTCTGAATCCTAAGAAGAGTGACATGCCACTCACTCACTCATTGCTGTAATGGCTTCTTAATAGCCAAGTAGACTCCATCTTGATACTTTCCTGTTTCTAAGCCTAGTCCCTCCTGCCCGCATCTTGATTCTGTTAACTCCCCGATATCCTTCTATTTGTAACAAATTCCTTTTCTACTTATATTAACCTCAGTCTCTGTTACCTGCTTCCACTGGAACTCTGATTCTGCTTGAATCCTTCCATTAATGGGAATATTACTACATTGAGAGGCTGCTCATTCCATTGCTGGACCTCTATATTTGTTTCAAAAGTTGTTAATTCAAGCTAAAGCCGGGTTCTCTATTACTAGTGTCTGTCATCAGGAATTAGAAAGAATAAATTTTAGTCCCTCTTCCATATGGCAGTCACTATAGTATCCAAGGAAGGGCAAATAATCATTGATAACCACACCACTAAAGCCCTTCTCCCAGCTGAAAACCACCAGGGTTTTTATAAATCTTCTAGAATAATATAAATTTTCAGACACCACAGAAATAGAAGCTTTGAATTGCCGATGAGCAGATTAATCATTTTCAGATGGTCTCAGGGAACTAAACAGTCACTTCCTCGGTGGGCCTCTTTCGAAGAGGGCACTTTCATGTTTATTACTTGCAAGGGTTGGCAAATGGTAGAATTCTTTTTTAGGATGATAAGGATTTATATTTCTATCTAGTCTGCCACTAATTAAAAGTATATTATCTTCCCTACTGAAGTTGGGGTAATTGGTGGTTATTTTCAGAGCAACTCATCAGGGTGAGACAGATTCTTTCTGATTGAGGTAGCAGAGGTGTTGAACATTCATTGTGTACTGAGTTCACGTTTCTAGTATCACAATTTCCCACACCACATGCGTGATAGATGTGTCTTCAACATTTGCAAACAATTCCAAGTCATTTCTCCCTTCAATTATTCCCTCTTCTCTGACATCCTAACAAGGTTTTCATTTTGTACTAATTTCACTAATTTAGGAAAACTTTTGTCTGCAATACATACATATACATATATACACACATATACATATATACACACATATAAACATATATGTATATATATTCATATTCTTGAGAAGTAGGCCAGAAACTTGGCTTGCTGTGAAAATCAGAGGGGAAATAAAAAGGATGAATGGAGAATAGTGTCTATTCCCTTTGGCACTTCTTACCTAATACTCAAGCCCCTTACTTGCTGAAACTCAAGTCTTCTCCTCCCTGCTCCCACTTGCCTTATATCTTCTCTCAATGAGTGAGGATTAAGGGCAGGTACTTCTCCCATTCCAGAGAAGCAGCAGCTCCATCTGGAGCACTCTGCCTCTTTCTGATGGAGCCCTCAGGGGTGTACACTGTAATGTCCATCTTCCCTCGTCTGCTCACGCAGAGGACAAGACTCTCACTCTCACCCTCTTTCTTTCCCTATCTAATTTTCTCTCCTTTCTCTCTCTCTTTCCTCTTCATTTCTAGTGGCCACCAGCTCTGAAGGTAACATCCCAGCCTGAGTAGGCCTGAGCCAATTATTCTAGACCAGAATCAGCGGGGGTAAACACAAACACTCTCATTCTCTAGCTGTTTCCTCAGGTGCTATGGCTGTTCTGGACTGTTCTCCCCTTCCACTGCTCAGATGATATATGACACTCAATTACAGTTGAAGAGAAATGGATCAACTGCTCTAGATCCAGGCCCCTGAAGCTACTTTAATATGTACATAAGTGTTCACCAGAGGTTCAGTCCAGCTCTCTGGGGTGCTACATGGGTGCAGAAGGTCCAAAGACCCAGCTAATAACGAAAGTTGACTTAGCTTTTATTTAGCCTCCTTTATTTTTTTTCCCACCAGGAAAAAAAGGAGTTGGGTCAAACAGGAACTGGGCCCAATATCATTACAACAATACTGCAAGGTCCCCCTTCATCCCAATGCCACAATCTAGACTTTGTTTTTAGGAATATATTTTAGGAATAATAAATACAAAAGAAAAAATAAATCCTAAATTATGAACATCGTTATTTGGTTTTGCAAGTCAGTCAAAGTCATGTAAAGAGAGAGACCTAGTCATTATCAGGAAATAACTATCTTGAATTAGTCTGTAACAATTTCTTCTCATTGAGTATTTTTGTGTTTCCCTTCTCTTCATAATAGGTAACATGATTTCCTACTTAAAACGGTGGCAGAGTTTCCCTTAAAAACAAATTTATGTTTTAAAAGTCAGTTGATTCAAATAAATATTAAATATATGAATGCATATGCTGGTCACGCACAATTTGGAAAAAAAAAAAAAAAGTATATAAATGTCCTGGAGACTTCTGGTAGATTTTCTGCTGTTCCTACTCTGAATGGACATGGATCATTTTCATGCCACTTTGGGGATTGATGCATGACTCCTGTTGCTTCCAAACTGTCTCAAAAGAAAATAGCATTCCACCTGACAGCTGCATGAACTCAAGTCTTTCTCATGTATGGGAGGCATAAGTATGTCCATCCAACAAATCTGCCAGCATTGCCTTTATTCTGGTACTGTCTAAGGCTGCCTATTCCCTTCTGCACAGAGTTCAGCCTTTTGCTTCCTTTTTTATTTATTTTTTTTTTGAGACTGAGTCTAGCTGTGTCGCCCAGGCTGGAGTGCAGTGGCGCCATCTCAGCTCACTGCAATCTCCGCCTCTCGGGTTCAAGTGATTCTCCTGCCTCAGCCTCCTGAGTAGCTGGGATTACAGGTGTGTGCCACCACACCCAGCTAAATTTTTGTATTTTTAGTACAGATGGGGTCTAACCATGTTGGTTAGACTGGTCTTGAACTCCTGACCTTGTGACTCACCCACCTCGGCCTCCCACAGTGCTGGAATTACAGGCATGAGCCACCGCGCCCAGCCCTTAGCCTTTTGCTTCTTATGGAAAAGCATTCTTCATTGTTTTATTCACTAGGCTTAGGCAAGTACCACCCTAACTCTCAAATAGCCTTTCCATCTGGGCACCCTTCTTCATGATGTCTTTGTTCCTGGAATGTGCCTCAAAGGTCTGATTTCTTAGGTGCCAAGCAGAGTAAAACTTCTAATCTTCCTTCTATCAATCCGGAGTTCCTGCTATCTCAACAATATACTGCATACCCAAAGCACATGCATAAAATAAAGTTTATTACAACAAGACTTTGTTTACAGAAGAAAGATTAGACTGATTGAATACATTGTTCTACACTGATTTTAATTGGTGCTATAATCTGATCTGTCTCTAACCAGCTAATCGGTATTTAATCGGTTGCTTTAATTTTATTACAAGGCAGCTAGAATGCAGCTGTAGCTAGAGACCACACAGTAAATAAACTACATTATTATTATATTTATGCATATGAGTTTTATTCTGCTTGTGTCAAAATTATACTCACTTCCACTCCCCTCCTAATTTGTTTGTATTAAACCATTGCTGTGCACTTGCATAGTGGGAAGAGTTAAAAAATGCCTTTTTATTGCCAAGGGTAAGTTATGTGATAAGTTTCCAGATGTACCCACCTTCATTTGCCAAACAATCTTGTGATTGATTTAAATATTTATACAGTGCTTCAATTACTGACATTGTTTCTATTAATTAATGATATTAGGGTTTAATTCTACAGAATACAGAAATAGAAACAGAACAAATTCATGCACAAAAAAGCATCTGATATGATCACCCTGAATGTAGTTTCATGCTAGAGTTTCTACGCAATTCCCCAGAGAATGAAGCATACCAGCATTAATAAAACTCTAAGTGTTTTAGGGGCTTTGAACATGGGTGCGATAGGTTCCAAAGCCCTATGTAAGTATTTGAACAACTTGACCTTATTTCAGCTTCTTGAGAGAACTATTAGGGACAGTCACAGAATCAACATGAAAAATTATTAAGTACCCACATACTGCCTGCCTGAAAGGACTCAGACAACTACAGCAAACTTCGAAAAAATATTAATAATATCAAAACACCTTGCGGCTGCTCTTTTAGATCGCTGCACATTTTTAAGATGTAATTTACTGGAAGCTCTCTTTTGCTCTTTCCTGTCATTTCAGTTATGCAAGAACACAATGCTCTCACCCTACGCCAGTCTGGAGAGCTTTGCTTTTCTCTTGGGAGGAGGCATGGTGCAATGATGAGAAGAAGGGCTTAGCAGCAGGCCGACCCTGGCTCCAGTCCCAGCTTTTACATACTCCCTGAATGACATCAGGCCATGTACTCTTAAGCCTAAATTTCCTCATCTGTAAAATAGGAGTCATCACAGCTACTCTGATATTAGTGTGAGGATTAAATGAGACAACACCATAAGGCTCTAGCCAAGGGGTCCAGCTGTTCCTTTGGCTACTGTGATCTCAGGCTCATTTAGCCCAGTAATTGTGGCTCATCTCATAGTTGTCTTCTCATCCTGCTGAGATTCATTTATTTAACAAATGTTTATTGGGTACTGATGGGGGTGCCAAGCATGGGCTAGAAACCTGGAACACAACACTGAAGGTCCAGTTTGCAACACAAAGTCCAGTTGGTCCAATGAAAAAGAGGATTAGATTTGCCTTTTAACAAAACATTCCTAGGTAGATGTTTATGGTAAAGCTAACATCGAGCCAAGTATCACAGAAATATATGGCAGGACATTAATGCCTAGTGTTCCATTATAGGAACGCTAAGCATGTGGGAGTTATTTATAACCTACAGCTCAAGGTCATCACCAAGGTCTGATTTTTCACTCATGCAAAAATTCAAAAAACTGAAACCTCTGGCATAAACGGGTTAAGGAAGGGAAGGCCCCTTAGTCCAAGCCTTTCCTTATAAAGGTATGGAAAGAAACCATTGTTCCTCATCAGCATGAGAGCAATACGTGTTGTTTACATAGTATTTTGCCATCTGTGATGATTTTTATGTAGTGTAGGACAAGGACTTTCTAACGCTCGGCTCTATACTAGACCAGGTCCAAAAATCTACCTGAGTATCACTACCTCTGTCACTGAACTACTGTAACCCAATAACAGGATAAGATGGCTAACAAAAGATGCCCTCGTAGGAGGAACTATCCAGTAGTTTGATTTCATACTTGTCCTAAACCTTTAAACTTGTTCTACCCACATGTCACAGATATGGAGGTTAGTGAAAACTACCTGTGTGTGTACAGAGCAGCTGGGAGGACATTTTGGCTCTGTTCTAGGCAGTCATGTAGGGCCCCCTTACTTTGCTCCTGCAGAGGGTCCTGATACTGTCACTGTTCTGCTCAGCTTCAAAACTCTCAGCAGGATGTCCCATTCCTCACCTAGCCCTCACCTGCTCTACCTAATGATGCTCAATCACTGAACTGGCCCAGAAATAATACCTGCCTATCCTGACTTCTTACCCAAACCTGGGGCTACCTCCCTGACTGGCATCCTAGGGGGGCTCTCCATGGCCTTTAGTGAAGTGGTCAAAGAGAAGGGTCAACTCTTTATACAAAAGAAAAATGAGTCATGAGCTAACTGTGAAACTCTCAATAAGTCACATATTCTCTGATCTCCATTTCCCAAATCACACAAATTGAGAGCCATCTAAATTGCCTCCCAACTCTGAGACTCTATGGATATACATATATGAATCATCATAGCAAATATATATCTATTATAGAAGCTAAAGGAATCTTCTCACTTTCTCCAATTAGTACCAACTAGATTACTCCACAAAAGATACTTGACCTTGTTAAAACAAAAAGCAAAACAAAAATACTCTTTTACACTATTATCAGGAAATCTATGCCTGGCTTTAGCAGCAGAGTATAAATATTTGGTTATTGGATACTTTTCAATTTAGGGGAAAAGGTATATCTATTGCTTAAAAACATTTGTGCCCTTCTTATAGCCAGGTCACCCATTCCAAGTCTGAAGAAAATAAATTGAAGTGGTGGTAAAAGTTAGTTAAATTTCAGAATTTTTAAAAGAAGGGATATCATTCATCTCTGGCTAGATAACTCTGTAAAAGATCTATCTGTAAGAACAGAAAATGCTCTTATAAGAACTTTGAGACTAGATAAACAAATGCATGCCACACAGACCACCACTCCCATCTCCTCAGGCTGTGGCAGACATTATTAATCAATAACAGAATCCTTCCCACTATGTCTATACACAGCCTTCAAATGGCTCTCAATGCAGTATCTCAGGTAACTGCCAGCAACGAATCATATTTGGCATGAATGATAAAAGGTATTTGGAATCCCTGGCTTTATGACTTTGACTGTTACCCTGACTGCCATTTAGAGGATTAACAGCCAAGAATGTCACAGTGTCATTATTTAAATAAAATAGAAAGGGATCTTGCCTGCAGGAACATGCCTCTGAATATTAGTAGGGGATTTCAAGCTTGAAACTCTCCAGAAGTTTCTTTTTCATCACTCTAATGCTTGACTTTTTCTTCCTCTGCCCCCTCCTTCCTTATGAACTCTCAAGGATACTTACAGGTCAGAAGGGTCTTCAGGTTGAGTTCTGGCCAAAATTTGTGGCATTTCCAAGTCTCACTTCACTGAATGAGTACAACCCTGAGACCTGTCTGGGAACATGGAGTGAAACAGAAACTAAGAGAGCCACCACTGCTGAGGCAGGGAGGGATGGCCTGGTGATACACAGGAAAGGTAAGTGTGGCAGTGCAGTGAGAGATGGGCTGGGGAGTAAGGTAGACAAAAGGATCTAAAGAGTGGAGTCCAAAAGCACAATGATACAAAGTGAGTGAAGCTCAGGGTTTAGCAAGTTAACATGAAAACCCTAGCTCCTGAATGAAGAGTACCTTTTGCATGGAGCCTGGATTATCTTTTCTGCTTATATCTTTCTTTTCTCCTCCCTCCAGCCCTTCCCTCCTTCCTATATGCTCCATTTTCAACTCCCTTTATATTCCTTCATCTTTCTCTCCCTACTTCCTTTTCTTTAACTTCCATTTCTTTCTTTTTCAGTCATTCCTACATTTCCCTTTTTCTCTCATTCTCCTTTGTCTAAGCTTTAGACAACCCTGCTCACTAGCTCCTTGGCCTTTAAGAGCTTATAAGGGCTAAGGGGCTACTAGTAGCTTCTCCCCATGCAACATATCACACAGGTGTCTTGGAGGGACAAAGTGGGGCTTGAGACTCCTGGATGCTACACAGCAGAGGTAAGGGCTCAGGTACCCAAGAGAAGAAATCAATGAAGTAGGAAGCAGAGGTGAAAAGAGTATATCAGCTCAACAGGATCAACAAAGTCCAGGAACACTGTCAAAATAAGCTTGGCAGAAAATCAACAGAGCAGAGAACAGCATGAAACATGAAGTGATACAGGTTGTGGGTGGGTGGAGAAAGAGAAATACAAGGCAAGCAAAGTGGCAGCATTAATAAGCAGCCATGACTGGACACAGACCTGAAGATGGATATTAGGAAGTAGGTGCCCACTGAGAATGAGAGTAAAAACCAAAGTGATGAACTATGCCTTTGTAACACCTGACACAAAAGAAAAGAGGTATGCCAGTTAAATGGCAGCACCATGTACAGAAATGAGTAGATATTTCTTGGTTTTGCTTAATATCGCTCTGGAAGCACAGAATTCATGTTCTAAGACTTAAGAATAACCTAAACCAGCCCAGTGTGGTGGCTCACACCTACAATCCCAGCACTTTGGAGGTGGATGGATGACCTGAGGTCAGGAGTTTGAGACCAGCCTGGCCAACATGGCAAAACTCCATCTCTAATAAAAATACACAAATTATCTGGGCATGGTGGCAGATGCCTCTAATCCCAACTACTCAGAAGCCTAAGTCAGGAGAATTGCTTGAACCCGGGAGGCAGAGGTTGCAGTGAGACGAGATCGATCACGTCATTGCACTCCAGCCTGGACAAGAACAAAACACCTCAAAAAAAATTAATAAATAAATAAATAACCTAAGTCTATTTGGGTGCCAAAAAATGTGTATTCTATTTGGACATTACAGTGGATTGACAGCATAGAAATTATTTATTAAACCCATCCTACTGGACCTGAAGGTGAACCCCATCGTAACAGGGTGCCTGGTAGAGTCATTCTTAACTAGCCATCGATTTGTAAAAAATTGCAAAAGTTGTTTTTTTTTTGTTTTTTTTTTGTTTTTTTTTTGTTTTTTGAGATGGAGCCCTGCTCTGTCGCCAGACTGGAGTGCAGTGGCATGATCTCGGCTCACTACAACCTCCGCCTCCCAGGTTCAAGCAATTCTCCTGCCTCAGTCTCCCGGGTAGCTGGGACTACAGGCGCCCACAACCACGCCCGGCTAATTTTTGTACTATTAGTAGAGACAGGGTTTCACCATGTTGGCCAGAATGGTCTTGATCTCTTGACCTCGTGATCTGCCTGCCTTGGCCTCCCAAAGTGCTGGGATTACAGTAAAAATTTCTTATATCAAATGACCGTTCTTGAATTGTTACCTTGGATTAACAGGGAGCAACTATTGGCATTTCCATACAGCAATCTACTATCTGGGGATAATCTAGCTTTCCTGGAGGGATGGAAACAAAGTGCATAATGGTTGTTTACCAATCATATAATATCAGACACCAATAATTTGTCATTCACTCTAGTGTTCTACAATCATTAGAGGAGCTATTCAACTGCTCTCAGACATACCAGCTATGATCATGTAGGAAACGTGATTCCGTGGGCTGAATGTACCAACTCTTCACTAACATCTCAATACTCTAGACTGAAGTTAATGACCAGTGCAAACCACCAGAGTATTACAGTAAAAGAACAGCAGTAAAAAGGCCTTAATAAATCAGAAATTTAAATTGGCTATTCATTTTAGTTACAGCCATTCGTCAGAGCAAAGTGATGGTCCAATTCACCTATGCGGTAACTTACATTGATCATAACAGTACTTTAAGTAATATCATCCATTAATTTATTAAGCAAATATTTGAGTAATACCTACTATGTGTACAACCCTCTGCCAGATGCTGCAAGATATATTCAGACATAAAAGAAACAATCTTAACCTTTAAGAAACTTGTAATCCAGTAGGAGAAAAAGACATTTTGTAGAAGTCTTATTCAAATAAAATATGATTCCATAAGATAAGGCTCCATCTAAGCTCTCTGCATTGCAAAGCTGATGGCAAGAACTACATTTCCCAGAATACTCTTCCCTGGATGGTTCGAGTGAAGTTTACCAATAAGAATAGAGTGAGATGTGGAAGAAAAAGAGATAAAGAAACTGTTCTTTGGAAGTCAGACAAATGTGCACAAATGAAGTCTTCCTCATTGCTGTACATTGAGAGATGTCCCTGCTTTCCTTATCGAAACTCTGATCTGTCTATGAGTTATTAACACCCTTGTCAGTAATA